>NW_003315952.3:300000-375691 GCF_000001405.40 Homo sapiens
TACCCAAAACATACGTCCTCACCAAAACCTGTACACAAACGTTCTTAGCAGCACTATTCATGACCGCCAAAAGCAGAAACAACGAAAATATCCATCAACTGATGAATGAGGAAAATGTGCTATATCCATACGATGATTATTATTTACAATGGATTATGATTTACAATGGATTATTATTTACAATGGATTATTATTATTTACAATGGAGTATGATTTACAATGGATTATTATTTGGCCGTAAAAAGGAATGAAGTGCTAATACCAGCTACAACATGGATGAATCTTTAAAACATCCTAAGTAAGAAAAGCCAGTCATAAAAGACCACGTATTGTATGATTCCGTTTATACAGTGTGTCCAGAATAAGCAAATCTAGAGAGACGGAAGGTGAGGAGTGGTTGTCAGGGGTTGCAGGAAGAGGGGAACAGACTCCCAGTGGGTTCAGGACTTCTTTTTGGGGTCGTAAAAATGTTCTGGATTAGACAGTGGTGATGGTCACACATTTCAAGAATACACTAAAACCACTGAATCGCACCCTTTAAAAGTGTGAATTTTATGGCATGTGAATTACAACTTCAGCACAAACACAGACCATGAAAAAAAAAATGAATTATAACTCATTCACAGGCCAGACATGGTGGCTGAGGCCTGTAATCCCAGCACTTTGGGAGGCCAAGGCAGGAGGATTGCTTGAGGTCAGGAGTTCAAGACCAGCCTGGCCAATATGGTGAAACCCCGCCTCTACTAAAAATACAAAAAAAATTAGCTGGGTGTGGTGGCGAGTGCCTGTAATCCCAGCTACTGAGGAGGCTGAGGCAGGAGAATTGCTTGAACCCTGGAGGTGGAGGTTGCAGTGAGCCGAGATCAAGCCATTGCACTCCAGCCTGGGCAAAAAGAGCGAAACTCCGTCTCAAAAAATATATAGATATACATATATTCTTGAGAACTCCAAAATACATGGGCTATGACCATTGCTAGTTACCACACTAGAAATTAAAACTGAGAAAATCTTTAAAATGTTGTTAATTCATTAAAAATAATAAACCCATTAGACGTTCACATAATTTACATATTTTATGAAAAACTACACTTACAAAGCAATTAGACAAATGACACTGTTTTACATTTTTACAACTCTTTTTAATGTTTGACTTCACAAAAAACAGCTGGACCTTCATATCTGATTTTTCATTCACGCATTTGTGGCAGGTTGTTTCGCTGAAGTCCTTGAAGGACATCCAGACCCTCACAAATACGTATGATGGCTGAAAAGAGGAGGACTTTTTTTACTTTCCAGAAATTGTAAATATTTTTCTTTGATATTGCACCCAAACTCAACAGATGGTAATTTCTTAAAGATTAGTTCAAATGTGGCATCTGAAACCACATCAATGAACTTCTCCTTTTCTGTACATTTGTGACAGGATAAAACCCAGAGTCCTATGACTATTCTTATGGAAACACTTTTGACCTGTGGATCTCCGGAGGGTGTTGGGGGACCCCCAGAGAGGCCTGGGCCCAGCTTGGAGAACTGCTTTTCTCGGCCAGTGCCACCCATTTCTATGATGACCAGCAGAGGTAACATGCAGACCGCCTCCGCCTGACCACACAGGGTCCAGGCCACAACCTTAACCACACTGGTCGCTCTACCCCATGCACATGTCCAGGCACCTGCTCTTCCAGATCAGACCTGACCCTCCCCAGTGAGCTGCCTCAGCAAAGAGACCTGGGCAGCCCCAGACCCCAAACAGCCAAGCGTGGAAATCCCATGGCCGGGCCCAGATCACCCAGGACCTCCTCAGATGGAGGCTCAATCTTCTCCCAGATGAGGCTAATGGACAAGCAAGGAAAGACAGGTCAAAAATGATACCGTCCTCAAACAACTTTAAATCAGTGCCCCATCCCAGCCTTTAGAGCACTATGGTTTGCTTTGCTTTTTAAAAACTTCAGTTATCTTGTGCAGTCACACTGCTCCACATGGGTGTACAAAGCATTATTCTTTTCAAAGTAAACACTAAAATATACTACAGCCCACACGGGGTGGCTCACGCCTGTAATCTCAGCACTTCGGGAGACTCAGGTGGGTGGATCCCTTGAGCTCAGGAGTTTGAGACCAGCCTGGGCAACATGGAGAAACCCCGTCTCCACTAAAAATGCAAAAATTAGCCAGGCGTGATGGCGCGCACCTGTAATCCCAGCTATTCGGGAGGCCGAGGCAGGATAATCGCTTGAACCTGGGGGGTGGAGGTTGCAGTGAGCTGAGATCGCGCCACTACACTCCAGCCTGGGTGACAGAGCGAGACATAATCTCAAAAAAAAAAAAAAGATCTGTGAAATTTTGGCTTTTATGTAAACTTACTAGAAGTCCAGGAACAAGTCAACTGTCTTCCTGAGCCTCAGTTTCCCCATCGGCACCCAACAGAGCTTGAGACAGGCCGGAGCAACCGCCTCCTGCAATTTCAATGCCTGATTTGGACCCTGCTGAGTTACATGAGGGAGGCGAGGGAGGCAAGCGAGGGAGGCAAGGGAGGCAGGCAGCCAGCAGGCAGGCTGCTGGCTGCTCCCACGTGGGAGGTGGGAACTGAGCCCTCCCCAGCCCAGTCCACAGGACAGAGAGGAGGAGGCCGCGAGAACTGCTTCCTACATGTCCCCACCCCTCTCACTGCTGTAGCTTCAGGGCAGAAGAGCCACAGAGCCAAATGCTGCAGAGATGAAGGGAGACGGAAAGAGCCAAATGCTGCAGAGATCAAGGGAGACGGAAGGATGTCGCCTCCAGAGCTGGGGCCACGGGCAGCGCCAGGGCAGGTTCATCACTGATGGCAAGTCTGTGGCTGACCACGTTCACAGGGGTGGCCCTGAGCAAAGGTCGGACATGAGGACCCAGGAGAATTCAGGCCCCGGCTCTGGGACGGCTGTGCACCCCCACCCTGGCCGTGGCTGGCACCTCAGAAGGCACAGCTGTCCTTCACTCGCACGGAGCAACCTCGGGACAGATGGTGGGAGAGGAAGGGCAACTCGAGGAGGCACATTTTAGGAAACTGCCCACGGAGCCAGTTTCGATTCTCCAAACCTCGTCAGCATGCAGAGGCTCCCTGACTCGGCAGCAAGGAGGGCCTCATCAGCCGACCCCCATGCCCGGCACCCCCTTCACCAGTGGGTAAACTATGCTCGCCACCACTCAGCACTCACCTCTTGGGCTCAGAGGGCAGAAAGTCTGACCCTTCTCTCTTAAAAGCAGGGTCCTGAAAACTCCAGAGAGCAGTGCCCTGTGCATTAAACACAGACTGCGCCCTTGTACTCAGGTATGACCATTTGTCCTGGACAAAAATTAAACTGATGAGGGAACAAAATAGGGCCTTATAGAAGGTGAGTGGAAAAGCAGGGAAGGCAAACCCCCAAATTCAGGAGGGAGGATGGAATTGGCCTGGGGAGCAGAGGCAGGAGGTTCTGTGGACAGGGCTGGTGGAGCTCTGGGGGGAGCAGAGGCAGGAGGTTTTGTGGACATGGTTGATGGACCTCTGCGGGGAGAAGACGGAGGAGATTTTGTGGACAGGGCTGGTGGAGCTCTGCGGGGAGCAGACACAGGAGGTTCTGTGGACAGGGCTGGTGGAGCTCTGGCCACTTCCTCCGTAAACTAGAGACGTGATCCCCAGGGCCAGGTCTGTCTCTGAGGTCCTACCAGCTGGGACAGGTAAGAGGCTGGGGAAGGAGGAGCGTGTGTGTGTGCGCGTGTGTGTGTACAGGAGCATATTCAATGAGCACATAGGTCAAGGCTGCTGATGGGGAAGGCAAGCCCCTCGTGGAGAGGGTGGGCATCCACCCAGGAGCCCGCCCAGAAGTGTTCAGTTCTATCGACATGAAATTTCCATTTCTCCTTCCCTGCTGGACCTTGGGTGCCCTAGAGGGTCCCTACATCCTCCTCCTTCCCTCCCTTCCTGATGCCCACACAGAGCCTGCTGCAAAGTAGGTGCTCAGGGAATATCCATTTAATTCAACTGTATTTCATCAGAGAGATGTGGCTTTCCCAGACAAGGAAGAATTCAGAAAACAGCCCAGACATGCTCAGAGCAGACAGCTGGACTCTAACCAGGCTCTGCGACTTGCTGACTCACAGGCCGTTTGTCCCTCAAGATTCCCCACGGGGTAGTCGGCCTCAAGGCAGCTCCACCTGACGGCTGAGCTCGCTCCTTGCTGAGGGGCTGGTGCCCCCAGGAGCCTCCTCTGGGAAGCTGAGACCTCCTGGTGCCACCTCGACCCCGCCGGGCGACACACGCTGAGCAGAGGCAGCACTCGGGCTGGCCGGCCCAGCAGGCAGATGTTCCGGAACCCTTGTAAAACCCCGCAGTACAGGGACTAGGAGGACCCGAGGGGTACAGGGAACGGAACAGGAGTTGCCGGTGATAATTTCCCGAAAAATTCCTAGGGGACAGAGGCTCATCAGCCCCAGGCAACTTCCTGAGACAGATCGGTAAAAACAACCCCTTCTTCCAGGAGGATGCAATTCTCTCTCTAAAGTCGAGAGCTCACCACCCCGGGCGTTCGTCACTGCAGACATCACTGCAGACACAGAGACGGCCATTAGAGCTCACCACCCCGGGCGTTCGTCACTGCAGACATCACTGCAGACACAGAGAAGGCCATTAGAGCTCACCACCCCGGGCGTTCGTCACTGCAGACATCACTGCAGACACAGAGACGGCCATTATGCAGCCTCACGTGGTCACTCCTGGGGGCGGTAGGATATTTTATCCTAAAGAGAAAACACCTTAAATTCTCACATCAGCCACCCCCATGGCGACTCTTAACACCTTAATGTAGCACCTTCCAACTTTTCCTGGGCATTTATGTACAAATTGTAATAAAATTGGGTTCTTACTGCATACGCTGCTTGCTGGTTTCTAAATAAAATTGGGTTCTTACTATATATGCTGCTTGCTGGTTTTTTAAACCACCTTGTGCTTTCCCACAGTATTAAAGTTCTTTAAAAATATGATTTTAAACTATAACTTAGTATTCTGAATACAATACGTTTTACCATCTTCCTGTTTGGGAGCACATGGATTGTTTCCAATTTTGCTCGATTATATGCAGCACTGAAATGGACATCCTGGCAGATAAATCTCTGACGACTGCCTTAGGATAAGTTCCCAAAAGGGAAATGAAGTGCATTTTTTCAGTGTATTTTTTGAGATACCTTTTCCATAGTCAGGTTCACAGCCACTCAAAGCTGTCAGCTGCAGGCCTCATGCTTGCTGTCTCCAAAGTGCACGTACAAGTGTCCACTACACAAATTCTGCTGGAGGCAGCTGTGTCTTGGTAGCCTAATCTGCGGATCTCCAATTAGATGGTTTCAATAAGGCAGACGATCCTCTATTCGCAAAAAAATAAATAAATAAAATAAAATAAAGGGCCTCTTCTTTGCAAACAGTTGCATCTACTTAAAAGAAGGCTTCTATCTCCTTAACAGCATTTGTGGGCTCAGAAGCTGGTAAAGCCAGCACTGGCTTGAGAGCCCTGAGTGACCAGTGGCTGGGGCCGGTCACATGACACCCCTCCAGCCGACTGTTCCCCGCCCCGACTACAGGGTCCCGTAAACGGGCCTTGGGAGCTCATCCCCGTACAGGCTAGGAAGCAGTGCGCATAGTCATCACTCCAGGAGAACCGCGGCTCGACCCTGACCTTCCAAAACTCTCAGCAGCCACAGCACAGTGAGAAAAACAACAGCCGCCCGCAGCTGTCTGTCTCTAACACGTATCAGACTTTGAAAAACATATCCGGAGGCAAAACAACCTGCCTCAGAGAAGCCCGGCAAACACCCACGGAGTCTCTAGCCCGTCCACTGCGGGGGGACAGGGACAAGGCAACCACCCCAGCAAGTGCAGCTCCTTCTCCCCACGCCTTCTCCGAGGGCCAGCCCATCCACTGCGGAGGGACAGGAACAAGGACAGGGACAAGGCAACCACCCCACCCAGTGCAGCTCCTTCTCCCCACGCCTTCCCCCAGGGCCAGCCCGTCCACTGTGGAGGGACAGGGACAAGGACAGGGACAAGGCAACCACCCCCAGCAAGTGCGGCTCCTTCTCCCCACGCCTTCCCCCAGGGCCAGCCCATCCACTGCGGAGGGACAGGGACAGGGACAAGGCAACCACCCCAGCAAGTGCGGCTCCTCCTTCTTCCAGGGCTGTGATCGCTCCCCACCTTACACCCTGGCATTTTCACCTCTTCGATCTTGTTTCAGGGACACGTTCACTGATATAACTGAGGCTTCAGACTCCTAGGGTGTGGCACGAACGAGCGCGCTTTCATCCAGCCACAGGGTCCGACCCACGGTGAGCGTGGGCAGCATACCCGAGCTCCTGAGACCAGCAGATATGCTTGGCTGGGGACGCATTCCCAAGAGCACAGCCACACTGTGACCCCCGAGCGACTGTGACAAAGGGGGCCCGGGTATGAGGGTGCAGGTGTCCGGGTGAGATTATCTCTATGGTGAGAATAAAGGAAATGATGCAGGGTGAACAGTGGGAAGGAGGCGGCGGATGGAGGGGCTGGGGGAAGTCGCTGTGCCTAGGACACCCACGTGCGAAGGCCAACACCAGCGCTGCAGGACGCCAGTTGGTGTCGGCCACAGAGAGAGGGCTCAAGTGCATTTTCCACACCAGGGGTGGCTGGTGCCCTCTGAGCCGCTGCATCACGATGCTTAGAATGAAATGCACGGCCCGGCCAAGAGTGGCAGAACCGCCCGGCCGGCCCGTAGACTGAGGAGGGGTAATAAATGGTGGTCGTGAGCCCCCAAGTTTGGACAGGTATGCTTGTCATGCAGTGTTACCCCAGCAATATATAACGGATAAAAATGGCATCTGGCTGATAAAATCCCAACCCTGACCTCAATGTCCAGAGCTATTCAGTTTGATTTTCCACTTGTGGTGGAAAGGCCAAAAGACCAGACGAGGGAGGCAAACAGGAGACACAAGAGGCAAGCAAAACCCACTCCCCTCCCCTCCCAGGTGCCAGAGGAAGTACCCCGTGGAGAGGGCCTGGAGGCTTCGCAGGTGGCGCCTGCAGGGCTGGAAGAGAGGCTTCATCCCAAGTGCTAAATCTGAGCTGGCGCCCAGAGGGCTGGGTTGAAAAGGGGCTGGAGGCTGCCTCCAGCCTCCGTAGGAAAGCATGCTGTGATCTGTTAGTCACGTCTGCCCCCGGCGTGGAGGGAGAACGGCTGCACATTTGCTGCTGCAGAGTGTGCCATCCCACTGGGCGCTGTGCCTAGGCCATACTTGCCACCGAGCCGGTGCTTCCCGAGGCCTCGAAGACACCGTGTGGGAGCCCTTCGTCCAACACAAGGTATTAATATCCGAGGGGACCCTTAGCAACAGCTCTGACATCTGCTCTGTTACTATGACACGGGAAACACGAGGAGGGCAGCAAGATAAGGTGAGCCCAGACGTCAACATTTCCTCCACCTGTCAGGCGGCGCTGGGAGGATTAAAGACTCAGAGAGGGAGCCTCAAAGGCCTGTCTAAACGCCCAAAGAACCACTCACTCGGAAGCGTTGCAGGCTGACTATGCACCAAGCGGGCTCGAGTGGATTCCAGAGTTGAAGCAGGAGCCCCGGGGAAACCAGTGCCTGACAAACCTCCCTCAAACTCCACCGTCCCCGGGCACCCTGCCAGGTCTGCCTGCTCGGGGCGGCTCCCCCTCCTCCCAGCTCCGATGCTCCTCCTCTCTTGCCCAGACCGTGGCAAATCTTCCTCATCTGCCTTGGAACCTGCTGGGGCTCCCCGTTGCCCCTCTTCACGTACAGCCAGAGAGACCATCCTTACAGCCCAGGTCAGGCCGTGTGATTCCCCTGCTCAGAAACCTTCGGTGGCTCCCCACTACTAAGGAAACAAGCCCTAGCTGCCCTCAAGGCCGTCCATGATCTGGCACAAACCACCCTTGCATTCTGCCAGCCACCCCTCTGCAAAACTGGTGCTCCAGCCACCAGGACCTTGAGGCATTGCAGCCGCCCAGCCTTGTCTCCGGCACCCTCTCACCTGGAACGCCTTTGGTTCACGCTGTCTACCTCCTCCACCTGGGGGTGGCCCAGCACCACCTCCCCTGGGAATTCTCCAGCTCCTCCCATCAGGCTCCCATTCGGCTTGAGCCCACCGCCCTCCCGTCAGCATTTCATTCCGCCCGCATCCTCGGGGGCATTTACCTGTTACCCCGATGCCCAGACATGGTGGGTCCAGTACCCCTTCAGGGGACTAATTTAACCGTCAAGAGTTTGCCACTCACTGGAACTACGTACATCGGTTACGCACCAATAATTTTTTTTTTTTGAGACAGGGTCTTGCTCCGTTGCCCAGGCTGGAGTGCAGTGGCACAGTCACAGTTCACTGCAGCCTCCAACTCCTCGGCTCCCGTGATCCTCGCATCAGCCTCCCAAGTCGCTAGAACTACACGCCTGGCTAATTTTTTAATTTTTTGGTAAAGACAGGGTCTTGCTCTGTTGTCCAGGCTGGTCTCAAACTCCTGGGCTCAAATGATCCTCCTGCCTCAGCCTCCCAGGTAGCTGGGACTATGGGAGTACGCCACGACACCCAGCCTGCCAACAAAATTTTATCTTAAAAACCGCCTCACGGCATAAGGCTCAGCCTCGCTGGCCTCCTTAACCTGCCTCTTTCCCTCTGCCACACACGGGCTCTCTACGGACCCTCCAGCCCCTGCTAAGACTCCTGCAGCCTTTCTTGCCTGTGTGCTTTGAGGAGCAGCAATCCTGGACATGCCACCCAGGACCCCGTCCAGGAGGCACCCCAACTTGGTCACAGAGCTAAGCGTCTGCTCCTGTCCTCGGCAGGACCAACAGCGGCACCTCTCAGTTTCCTTGGCCTCGTTCATTCAACACACACACGCTGGGTGCTGACGAGGCACCAGGCCCGTGCCCAGCCGCTCAGTCTCGCTGCTCGAGGGCTGGGCAGGGGTTTTTTTTGTACCCCGGCAAGGCCCCTCATGGGGCACACGTAGGAGGTTTCACTTAATCCTGTGGGTCTTTTTTAACCTTGGAAAGTAAATCCTTGGGCATCTTTAATGACTGGCAACTCCCGCTCCAGTGGACCCCAAATCCCTGCTCGTCTCTTCATCTGATGCTGTTCTCATTCCCAGGCAGAAACACTCTGCAAAGCCTCCAATGCAAATGAGATGTGAAATAACCTACTTCTCCCCCATCTCAAGTGCCAGCCCTCAGATTTTAACAGCCACAGCTCTGCCTACGTGTCCCCAGAGGCATAGCTTGCTTTTGTCTTTTCTGAAAGGCCTGAAACAGTGTAGGTGGAACTGCTGTATCAAGGCAGTCACAGAGCTGAAGGTGGTGACGGCAGGGAAACCAGGCTGGGCGTGGTGGCTCACACCTGTAACCCCAGCACTTTGGGAAGCCAAGGCAGGAGGATCGTTTGAGCTCAGGAGTTCGAGACCAGCCTGGGCAACAGAGCAAGACCCTGTCTCTACAAAAAATTTAAAACTTAGCTGGGCATGGTGGCACATACCTGTAGTCTCAGATACTCAGGAGGCTGAGAAGGATCACTTGAGCCCAGGAGACGGAGGCTGCAGTGAGCCATGATTGCACCACTGCCCTCCAGCCTGGGTAACAGAGCAAGACCCTGTCTCAAAAAAAAAAAAATTTACAGGGTAACCACACAGAGAGAGAGAGAAAGAGAGAAGAGAAAATGAAATTCAAACTTACTGCAAACGTGACCAGAATAATACGTAGGTACCTGTGGCCCCTGAGCACTCTCTGCCCAGAAAATGCCCAAGTGCTCCCAGGCTGCCGGGCACCTGGCTTGGGACGGGCAGTATCGAGCATTCATGCTATTTGTCTTTTAATGCAGAAACGCAGGCCTGCTTCCATTTACGTGATGTATGTGGGTCTGGAAAGTCCCAGGCAGGCAGAATCTTTGCAGAGGAAACCTGATTTCGGCTCCCACCTGGGAACTGCTTGTTGAAGGAGCCCAAGAGAAACCTCTCCATGAAGCAGAGAAGCTTCTAGGGAAAAAGAAGCCTCAACCCTCCTCACCCGCTTGGAAAAGGCCCAGTCCTCAGGTGTGCTGAGGGCGGTGCTCCAGGCCCCGGGGGGCAGCGTCCCACACCCCTGCCTCCGCCAGCAGCTTCTGCACGGCCCAGCCCAGACTCCAGCTCCCAGGTGGCTCTCCGCGGGTCCTGCCAGGTACTTCTCCAACCTTCCTCCCCTCACCTCACCAGAGCCAGGGTTTGCTTACAGCCAGCAGCCAAGGCCATCCCCGGCTGACCTCGCCTGCTATCTGTGGGCCCAGCTGTCTCCTCTTGCTCACAGAAACACAAACAGGCGTTTCTCTGTTGCAACTCCAGGGTTAGGCACTGCCCTGCCTGGGAACAAGCTGTCCGGTTCTCTGCACACTACCCATTCTCCTGGCAGAGGCTAAGACCCCAAATAAGTGAGAATGCCCATAAGAGGGCCAGCGGAGGGCTCAGGCAACAGTGGGGGCCACCCCAGAACATGGCTTGCTACAGAGAAGACAGGCAGGGGGAAGGGTCAGACAGAACCACTGGCACTTAGCTAGGAGTTTTCAGGGCCTCTAGGAGGGGCCCCCAAGTTAACAAACATCCCTACACGTGCCCAGCCTGACCCTGCACTACCAAACTGGGAGAGGAAGAAGCCGCCTCCATGGGTGCTGCCCACCTGCCAGGTGCCCGCCACTGGCTGACCAACTGGAATCATCACAAGCCCCAGAGGACGACGTGATCATCACTCCTTTCAGAAAAGAAGAAACCAGCTCGAGAGGGGCAGCCACGTGCCCAAGGCCCCATAAGCTGGCACCAGGTGCCCAGTTTGGCCCAACGGAGCTGGGCTGAGCCCAGGTGCTTTCTATCCCCCTCCTCCTCCCAAGGCGTCGGGTTGCAGGTGCGGTGCCTACAGGTGCCTAACGAAAGCAATGAGCCGGGTATTCTCCGAGCACCTGCCACACACCCAGCAGCGGGGAGCACAGAGTTCCCAGAAACTGTAAGTCGCGCAGTAATTGGCCAAACGGGAGTTCTGAGAAGAACTGGGCCGGGGCAGCCTGAAGGGGATTGCAGAGGAGACGGGCTGGCTGTTTCCCGGAGCAGGCAGGGGCTGGGACCTGTGGGACCTCAGTCACCAGCCCTCAGTGCCACTGTTGTCCCAGCCTAGGCCCTCAGAGCAGAGGCACAAAGGAGCTGGTGTCTGAGCCCTGGGGCATTTTCAAAGACAGCCCCTGCTCCCCACCAGACCCACTGCCTGAACCAGGTGTCACCCAGACCTCCTCAGTCACCCCATAGTCCTAAGGGGTCCCCCTGGCTCCAGGCTCCCCAGCTCAGACCCGGCCAATCCTGCCATCAGACAGGCTCTCCAAAGGCCCCGCTCCACCCAAACACCTCAAAATCAAGCCCAGGGTCCTCAGCTGGGAGTTCATGGCCATCCACAGACTCCACCGTGCCTTGCCAAATTTGTCTCCAGACAAACACACACCTGGTGTCATACCTCATGCCCAGGCCCAGGCCTCCCCACATCCACACTCACTGCCCCGGGCTCAGGCCTCCCCACATCCACACTCACTGCCCCGGGCTCAGGCCTCCCCACATCCACACTCACTGCCCCCCACCCAGGCCTCCCCACATCCACACTCACTGCCCCGGGCTCAGGCCTCCCCACATCCACACTCACTGCCCCGGGCTCAGGCCTCCCCACATCCACACTCACTGCCCCGGGCTCAGGCCTCCCCACATCCACACTCACTGCCCCCCACCCAGGCCTCCCCACATCCACACTCACTGCCCCCCTCCCAGGCCTCCCCACATCCACACTCACTGCCCCCCACCCAGGCCTCCCCACGTCCACACTCACTGCCCTGGGCCCAGGCCTCCCCACATCCACACTCACTGCCCCCCACCCAGGCCTCCCCACATCCACACTCACTGCCTCCCACCCAGGCCTCCCCACATCCACACTCACTGCCTCCCACCCAGGCCTCCCCACGTCCACACTCACTGCCCCCCTCCCAGGCCTCCCCACATCCACACTCACTGCCTCCCACCCAGGCCTCCCCACATCCACACTCACTGCCCCCCACCCAGGCCTCCCCACGTCCACACTCACTGCCCCCCTCCCAGGCCTCCCCACATCCAATCTCACTGCCCCGACCCAGGCCTCCCCACATCCACACTCACTGCCCCCCACCCAGGCCTCCCCACATCCACACTCACTGTCCCCCACCCAGGCTTCCCCACATCCACACTCACTGCCCCCCACCCAG
Organism: Homo sapiens; assembly: GCF_000001405.40. Lineage (NCBI taxonomy): Eukaryota > Metazoa > Chordata > Mammalia > Primates > Hominidae > Homo > Homo sapiens. The sequence continues at coordinate 312,280 of NW_003315952.3, forward strand.
GCCTCCCCACATCCACACTCACTGCCCCGGGCTCAGGCCTCCCCACATCCACACTCACTGCCCCCCACCCAGGCCTCCCCACATCCACACTCACTGCCCCCTCCCAGGCCTCCCCACATCCACACTCACTGCCCCCCACCCAGGCCTCCCCACATCCACACTCACTGCCCCCTCCCAGGCCTCCCCACATCCACACTCACTGCCCCTGCCCAGGTCTCCCCACATCCACACTCACTGCCCCCTCCCAGGCCTCCCCACATCCACACTCACTGCCCCTGCCCAGGTCTCCCCACATCCACACTTACTGCCCAGGGCTGAAGCAATCGCTGCCTCGTCCTCATAAGCACACTGTTTTTACCTCTTCCCAGAACTTCGCAGTTTCTGGTGAACGTGTCTGACCTCTCCTACTGGACCAAACACTCCCTCAGAGCAGGATGCCTCCTGCCCATATGGTACTGAAAACTGTGGCACTGGAATAGAACTGAGAGCCCAGAAATAAACCCATACATCCGTGGTCAACTGACTTTCAACAAGGATGCCGAGACCATACGACGGAGAAAGAACAGTCTTTCCAACAACATCTGCTGGGACAAGTGCAGAGCCACCTGCAGAAGGATGACGTGGACCCTGACATCACACCATTGCAAAATTTAACTCAAACGGATCAAAACCTAATGCAAGAGCTAAAACTATGAAATTCGTATAAGGAATGTCAGGGTAAATTTTCATGACTTCAGATTTGGCAGTGATTTCTTAGAGGACACCAAAAAATAGGTGTCATCTACATTTTGGTGTCATCTAAGATTTGGCAATGATTTCTTAGATGACACCATACACACCAAAAGAAAAAAGAGACAAATTGGATTTTTTATCATAATTTTTTTGAGACGGGGTAATGCCGTGCTGTTTAGGTTCATCTCAAACTCCTGGGCTCAAGTTGTCCTCCCACCTCGGCCCCCCAGATAGCTGAGATGACAGGCATACACCACTGTGCCTGGCTGACTTTATCGTAATTTGTAAATCTGTCATAATTTACAACTTTGTCCATCAAAGGACACTATCGAGAAGGTGAAAAGACAGCCCATAGAATGGGAGAAGATATTTGCAAACCATATATCTCATAAGGGTCTAGTATCTACACTATATAAATAATTCTCACAACTCAACAACAAAATGACAATTCCATTTAAACATGGGCAAAGGATTTGAAAAGACATTTCCCCAAAGAAGATACGCAAATGCCCAAAAATCACATGAAAAAAGACTCAATATTGTTAACCATCAGGAAAATACAAATCAAAACCACCATGAGATACCACTTCACATCCACTAGGATGGCTACACTAAAAAATATGAAAAATAACAAGTGTTCGTGAGGATGTGGAGAAACTGGAACACTTGTGCCTTGTTGGTGGGAATGGAGATGGTGCAGCCACTATGGAAGACAGTTTAGTTCCTCAACAAGTTAACACACAATTATCATCTGACCCAACAATTTCGCTCCCAGGTATAGACCCAAAAGAATTGAAAGCAAGTGTTCAAATTAAAACCTGTACACCAATGCTCATAGCAGCACCATTCACAATAGCCAAAGGGGGAAACAACTCAAATGTCCATCAACTGGGAAAAGGACAAACAAAATATGGTGTATCCACACAAAAGGATATTATTTGGCTATAAAAAGGAATGAAGTATCGATTCATGCTACAACACAGACAAACCTTGAAAATCTGTTAAAAGAAGCCAGTCACAAAAAACCACATATATGATCCCATTTATGTAAAATGTTCAGAATAGACAAATTTATAGAGACAGAAAGTAGATTAGTGGTTGCCTAGGGCTTGTTGGGGTCAGGGAAGGGGGACAGCAAAAGGGAATAGGGTTTCTGTATGTGGTGATGATTGGTGATGGTGATTAGAAGGTCATCCATGACATCCCCCATTACTCTGGTGAATGAAGACCATCTATCCCAAATTAATATGTTATTAATTTATTCTCCTCATAGAGAATTTATAGAGTCTCATTGACCAACCAGCCAGACATGATGCTAATCTGGGTTCCAGAAACAAGAAACACCACGACAGATCAAGGAAATTATTAGTGATGGAATCCAAATGTCAGGCATGTAAGTTTCACTATAACATTTGTTCCACTTTGCTGCATGTTTTTAATTATTCATAATAAATTATTATAAAAGTAAAATTACAAGTAGGTATTTTGGGCATTCAACCTGTAGAAACCAGGTTCACAACATTAGGAGGACACAGACAATGACCTTGCAAGGTCCCACTTGCAAAAAAACACATCCATGCCTGTTCCTGCTCCCCACAGGTGTCCACAGGCGACACACCAGGTGACATGGCTGCCTCAGGGAAGCAGAAGATGCAGGACTTCCCTATCGTGGCACAGGACTGAGGGCTGTGGAGTCAGTCTCTACGTAAACACATTCAGCTCTCTGAGTTCAAACCAAGTCAGAAAATGGGCAGAGCCACTGCTTTTATTAGCTCCAAATGAATCTGGCAAGGGATGCTGGGACTGACAAAGCAGGCGCTCAACCCTGTCACGCACTCCAGGTAGCCCTGCCAGCAGGCTGATGAATTCTCTTCTTCTGACAGGTGACAAAGGGCAGTGGTTACAGGTCTGGGCTCAGGGTCGCGTATCTGAGGTTTGCATTCTGGCTGCGAATTATGAGCTTGGTGACCTTGGGCAACTTCCTTCATTTCTCTAAGGCTTGGGTGCATCATCTATAAATGAGTAGCTGCCTCCTGGGGCTATTGGGAAGAATAAATTCAACCGGTGGTTCTGAATCGGAGTGATTTTGTCCCCCAAGAGACATTTGGAAATATCTGGAGACATAGTTGCGGGTGCTGTTGACTACTATCCATCCAGTGGGTAGAGGCCAGGAATGCTGCTAAACATCCCTGAGGCACAAAACAGCCCCCATGACAGAGTTATCCAGCCTAAACGCCAAAGCACTGGAGTTGAGAAAACCTGATAGAGGTGGTGTAGGTAACACAACCAGCACAAAGCCTGTCACAGTGTGCATTCTCAGGGTAGGGCCATCATGGCCATCCTCATCATCACCATCATCATCATCATCATAATATTCACCATCATCACCATCAGTCATCATCATTACCATCACCATCACTGTCATCTCTGTCATCACCACCATCATCACTATCATCACCCCCATCATCACCATCATCATCGTCACCACTGTCATCATCGTCATCACTATCACCATCATTGTCACCATCATATTCACCTCCAGTCATCATCACCATCAGACATTGTCATCATCACCATCATCATTTTTACCATCATGATCACCAACACCACTATAATCACCCTCATCATCATCACCATCATCACTATCATCACCATCACTGTTACATCATCATCATATTCACCTCCATCAGTCACCATCACCACCATCACTGTCATCTCGGTTACCACCACCATCACTATAATCATCACCATCACCATCACCGTCATCATTATTACCATCATCATCACCAACACCACTATCATAACCATCACCACCATCAGACATCATCACCATCATCACCCACATCATCATCACCATCACCACCATCAGACATCATCACCACTATCATGACCATCACCCACATCATCATCATCACCATCACTGTCATCTGTGTCACCACCACCATCATCACTATCATCATCACCATCATCATGATCACCATCATCATCACCAACACCACTATCATCGCCCTCATCATCACCATCATTGTCAATCAGCATCACCATCATCACTATCATCACAATCACTGTTACATCATCACCATGTTCACCTCCATCAGTCATCATCACCACCATCACTGTCATCTCAGTTACCACCATCACTATAATCATCACCATCATTGTCAATCACCATCACCATCATCACTATCATCACAATCACTGTTACATCATCATATTCACCTCCATCAGACATTGTCACCATCAGTCATCACTATTCTCATCATCATCCTCTTCTGTATTGGGGGAAATGCCCAGAGGGGCTCATATCTGGGCAGGAGACCTGATGAATAGAAAGTGTATATACTGGGAAGAGGAATCAGCATGAGGGGAAAGGCCACCTGGCCTTGCTGAGAGAGGCAGGAGGCCCGTTGGTGAGGCCAAATCAAAAACCATCCTGGCCTGTAATCCCAGCATTTTGGGAGGCCAAGGCGGGAGGATCGATTGAGCCCAGGAGTTTGAATCCAGCCTGGGCAACATGGTGAAACCTTGTCTCTGAAAACACACACACACACAGAAAAAATTAGCTGGGCTCAGTGACACACACCTGTAATCCCAGCTACTTGGGAGGCTGAGGTAGGAGGGTCACCTGAGCCTGGGGAGGTTAAGCCTGCAGTGAGCCATGATCGTGCCACTGCACTCCAGGCTGGGCTACAGAGTGAGACCCTGTCTCAAAGGCAAACAAACAAACAGAACACCCTAAATCCCATCTGCAAAGGTGGCAGTAGCTGGCAAGTCTACAGCCACTGCTGTGAGGACTCCATCTGCCTGGTCACTTTCCCACCTCTCTAACTTCTCATTGCCATTAGCAGGAACTTCCTCAAACAAAACCACCGGGGGGTTCATCCTCAGAGAAGCTGGAAGGGGGAATCCCTGGGGTTTCTACGCCTGTATAGCCAGGCTTGGAGAAACAGAAACAGCCACCCAGGACTGGCTAGAGAACTGAGTCCTGGGGCAAGTGAGAGGAGGCTAGGAGCAGTGCCCTGAGGCTGAGAAGTGGGTGCCTGCTGGGGCACGCGTGCTCCCCATCTGCACGCACACCCTGCTGGGGCACGCGTGCTCCCCATCTGCGCGCACACCCTGCTGGGGCACGCGTGCTCCCCATCTGCGTGCATACCCTACTGGGGCACGCGTGCTCCCCATCTGCGTGCACACCCTGCTGGGGCACGCGTGCTCCCCATCTGCATGCACACCCTGCTGAGGCAAGCGTGCTCCCCAACTGCCCCATCTGCCCGCACACCCTGCTGGGGCATGCCTGCTCCCCACCTGCACACACACCCCGACTTTGCACTGTAAGGACAAATGGGATGCCAGTGGGCTCTGAGTCTCGAAGACCGGGACATAAGGGAAACACAAAATGTCACATGGGGGAGGTGAAAGGTTTGTCTGTCAATGATCAATTAGGAGAACCACCATTGAGGGCTTACCATTTGCAAGGTTTAGTTCCAAGTGCTTATGGAATCATCTCCTTTATCTTTCAAAGTAACCCTATGAGGCAGGTTTTAACAACCCCATTGTACAGGTGAGCAAACTGAGGCTCAGAGAGGTAAATGACAGCTGGTAAGCGACAAAGGCCCAGGATTTGAACTCCAAGCATAAGCTCTTAACCACAAGCATAGTCCAACTTCTCAACACTTCATAGTACTCTTTGCTAGACAGAACTATGTGTGTTTGGGGCCTTTTCCCGTCCCAGTTGTGTTAGTCCGTTTTCACGCTGCTGATAAGGCATACCCAAGACTGGGCAATTTACAAAAGAAAGAGGTTTAATGGACTTACAGTTCCACGTGGCTGGGGAAGCCTCACAATCATGGTGGAAGGCAAGGAGGAGCAAGTCACGTCTTACATAAACGGCAGCAGGCAAAGAGAGAGCTTGTGCAGGAAAACTCCCCCTTACAGAACCATCAGCTCTCGTGAGACTTATTCACTCTCATGAGAACAGCACGGGAAAGACCCGCCCCCATGATTCAATGACCTCCACCGGGTCTCTCCCACAACAGGTGGGAATGCAAGATGAGATTTGGGTGGGGACACAGCCAAACCATATCATCAGTCATCCCATGTACGCACATAATCTTTTTTCCTTCTCCTTTCAGATAAGTCAGAGACAATAAATAAGATTATAAATAGAAAAACACTATTTTGTAAAATATAAGAAAACAAACAACAGACACTTCACTGAAGATATACAAATGGCAAACAAGCCAATGAAAAGATGTCCAACATGATATGTAATTAGGGAATTGCAAATTAAAACAACAAGATACTACTACACACCTGTTAGAACAGCCCAGATCCAAAACACTGACAACACCAAATGCTAGTGAGGATGTGCGGCAACAGGAACCTCAAACACTGTAAAATGGCCCAGCCGGCCAGGCGCGGTGGCTCACGCCTGTAATCCCAGCACTTTGGGAGGCCGAGGCGGGAGGATCACGAGGTCAGGAGATCGAGACCATCCTGGCTAACATGGTGAAACCCCGTCTCTACTAAAAATACAAAAAATTAGCCAGGCATGGTGGCAGGCACCTGTAGTCCCAGCTATTCAGGAGGCTGAGGCAGGAGAATGGCGTGAACCCGGGAGGCAGAGGTTGCAGTGAGCCAGGATCGTGCCACTGTGCTCCAGCCTAGGCAACAGAGCGAGACTCCGTCCCAGATTTTAAAAAAATAAATAAATAAATAAAAATAAAGCCAACCTGGGCAGCACAGTGGGACTCTGTATCTATGAAAAATAAAAAATTTTCAACAGGGAACCCTCAAGCACTGCAAAACAGTACAGCCAACCTGGGTAGCACAGTGGGACTTTGTATCTATGAAAAATAAAAACATGTTTAGCCAGGCGTGAGGGCACATGCCCACAGTCCCAGCTCCTCGAGAGGCTGAGATGGGAGGATGGCTTGAGCCCCAGAGCTCAGGGTGGCAGGGAGCCGTGACTGTACAACCACACTCCAGCCTGGGTGACAGAGCAAGACTCTGTTCAAAAAAAAAACCAGCCCAGCCACTTTGGAAGGTAGTTTGTTACAAAGTTGACTATACTCTTACCAAAGGATCCAGCAATCACATTCCTTGGTATATGCAAATGAACTGAACATTTATGCAAATAAACTGAACAGTTATCTCTATTCAAGAACCGGCACACTCATGTTGACTAAATATTTATTCATAATTGCAAAAACTTGGACACAACCAAGATGTCCTTCATCAGGTGAATAAACAAAATATGGTACCATATATTCATACGATGGAACAGAATTCAGTGATAAAAAAAATGAGCTAGTAAGGCTGGGCAGGATGGCTCATGCCTGTAATCCCAGCATTTTAGGAGACCGAGGTGGAAGGATTACTTGAGGCTAGGAGTTCAAGGCCAGCCTGAGCAAAATAGTGAAATCCCATCTCTACCAAAAAAAAAAAAAATTAAATTAATTAAAAGAAAAATGAGGCTACTCTGGGCACCCTGCCTATGGGGCAACCCTTCTCTGCAAGGAGCAGTTAAAAAAAAAAAAAAAACAGAGCTGGCAAAGGGAAGGAAACCAGTCTGAAAGGGCTACTTACTGCAGGGTTCCAACTACGTCTATGACATTCTGGAAAAGGCCAAACTATGGAGACAGTAAAAAGACCAGGGATTTGGGCGTGGAACAGGAAGGATGAGGACATGGATTGCAGGGGATTTTGAAGGCAGCAAAGCCATTATTCTCCCCACATGTCCTTACACATTGGTTGAAGTCCACACTACCTACACCTCCAAGATCCAACCCTAAGTGTACACTACACGTTTCAGTTAATAATAATGTATCAGTATTACCACATTTATTGTAACAAATGTACCTCACCAAAGCAAGATGTTAATCATGGGAAATTGAAAGAGGTAAGAGGTTAGATGGGAACTCTGTACTTTTTGTTCAATTTTTTCTGTAAACCTAACACTGTTCAAGAAAAAAAAAAAAAAAAGTAAAGTGCTACCAAATGCAATGAAAAAAATTTTAATTTTCTTCTTCATAGAGAAAACAAAAATAGCACACTAATGGTCATCAATGGGGAAGAATCTTGCCACGCCACTAATATTACATTTGAGTGTTATACCCTCCCGAATGCTTTTGTGTGGACTAATCACAGGCGCCCATCATCCCTGTTTGCTAAAGGAGGAAGGTACGTACTGTCCATGCCTGTGTTCCATCCCCACCACGTGGCCCTCCCTTGGGAGTGCAGAACACTGAAAGGTCAACAAATACTGGGCCCCAGTTCTTTCTTCACCACATGCATCACAGTTGGAATCTGTGTTTATTTCTTTGTTTACGTGTTAATCTCTGGAAGGTGCACGGGGAGAAGGGTCACCTCCATTGTGCTGGCTCTGAAGAGCCACTGCATATTGCACAGTGCACGAGATGAATCCAAAATGAATCAGACAGCGGCTCCAATAAATGCTGAGGCCATGCAAAGAACACTGGGAGTGAAGAGAAGGCGCAGTGAAGATCTTGCTCTGTGGCAGTCCTGGAGGGCTTCAAAGAGAAGAATGTGGTGCAGGGCTCAGAGGGAAAAGGAGGGACTTGGCAGGCAGAAGGCGGCATTCCAGGGAGAGAATGGTCCTCCCAGAAGTGCCACAAAGGAAGAGGAAACTCACTCAGAGAACTAGGGTAATTGGGCAGGAGAGAAACTCGCCTGGGCAGGTTAGTGACTGCCCTGAGGTCACAGCTCGCTGGCACCAACTTGGGCAGAGCTGGGAACTCCGAAGCTGTAGAAACAGCCAAGTGCACCTTGAGCTTTCACTGAAGTCAGGCTGAGAAGAGAGGAAAGTGAACACACCCTCCCCATTTCACCCACATCTCCCAACATCCAGGGGCCAGGAGCGTGCCCAGAAATTACCAGCTCAAACTCAAAACGGCTCTAAGGTTAAATGCACGTTCTATCCCACCACATATTGATTATTTCAAAAATTAAAATGACTGGGCACAGTGGACCATGCCTGTAATCCCAACACTTTGGGAGGCCAAGGTGGGAGGATTGCTTGAGGCCAGGAGTTCGAGACCAACCTGGGCAATGTAGCAAGACCCCATCTCTATAAAAAAACTTTTTAATAAAAATAAATGTTAAAAATTAACTAATTAATTCAATTTAATTAAAATAATGCTTCTCCTCCACCTTAAGACATAACCTTCCAAAAATGTCTTCCAGTAAAATCGAGTCCAGGATTATGCAACTCTAGTTTTATGTAGTAATAGCAGCAGCAGCTGACATTTCTGTAACACCTTATCTATATCATCACTCACAATCTCCACTGCAATCCCATCGAGGGCCATCAGCACCCTGATATTACTGCTGTGCCCAGCACACCACAGGGACAGCACACACCCACACAGAGGAGCACAGAGGCCAATTAGATTCCTCCAAGTTAAATAGTGTGTCCACAGTCTCACTACTGCAGATGCGATCTCCCTTTCAGAGGCGTAGGTTTGCAATTGGACTCTACAGCTAACCAGCGGTTTAATTTGGGGCTTGTTACATTTCCCTACACTCCATTTCTTCCTCTGTACAACAGAGGTAATAAGTAATGCATTCCTCAACAGGTTTTTTCCAGAGTGAATTGTGGTAACAGAGTAAAAGTTCCAGGCTGGGCGCGGTGGCTCACGCCTGTAATCCTAGCACTTTGGGAGGCTGAGGCAGACGGATCACAACATTGAGACCAGCCTGGCCAACATAGTTAAACCTCATCTCTACTAAAAATACAAAAATTATCTGGACGTGGTGGCACGCACTTGTAATCCAAGCACTTTGGGAGGCCGAGGTGGGCAGATCATGAGGTCAAGAGATCAAGACCAGCCTGGCCAACATGGGTGAAACACCATCTCCACTAAAAATACAAAAATTAGCTGGGCATGGTGGTGCATGCCTGTAATCCCAGCTACTCAGGAGGCTGAGGCAGGGGAATCGCTTGAACCGAGGAGGCGGAGGTTGCAGTGAGCCGAGATCGCACCAGTGCACTCTAGCTGGTGACAGAGCAAGACCCCATCTCAAAAAAAGAAAAAAAAGTTCCAAACACAGTATCTGGTACCTAGCAGGCCCTCACAAAACAAAACAAAACAAACCCGTTTTTTAAACCAAGCTGGTCCCTGAATGCTGGTGAACTTCTCCGCACTAAAAGGATGAAATGGGAATTAAAAAAACTGTGACCCTCTGACCGCAGACCCTGATGATGGATGAAATCTTGGCCTGGGCTGTCAGCCAAGGCCATCTGGGCCAAACCATAGGGCAGGAAACAGCAGGCTTCCTCCTCCTGTCTGAACTCTGGCCCAGAGAGGAGCTTCCTTCAGCTGGCCGCACCCACTTCCCCGACAACATTCCAGAACATTCCATGATAGGCCAGGAGACTCCAGGAAGAGGTCACTGAGTAGCTCTTAGCATCTCCTCCCAGCCCAGCCAGGAGAAGATGCTCCCCCCTTCTAGGACTCCATGTACAACTTCTGACCTGTACCCCTGCCCATCACCCACGGCCTCCCCACAGAGGGCCAAGGCTCAGCTTGTCTACCTCCGACCTACCTCTCTCCAACGTCTCTAGGCTGCCCCCCAAGCCAGTAAGAGATGTCCTGGGTGGCTGGGTTGCTTGTCCTTGGCTATGGCCCTAGTTTGGCTTCTTAAACCCTCTTTACCTGGGCCCTTAACTGGTCATCTGCCTCCAGTCCTGGTATCCACTACACATAAACGAGACTCTTCAAGGACTGTCAAGAAACACTCCCCTCCTCAAGCACCCTCAATAGCTCCCACTGCCTCCTGAAAAGTTCAGAGGCCACACCCTGAGACTGACGGTCCTCCACAATATAGTCCCACACCTACCCTCTGTTCCCTACAGGACTCACCTGCTGCAACCAAAATAGATTACACCAAGAATCGTACCCACATGTCTGGACCTGTAAGTACAGACCCACCTCCCATCTCCACCTAGCTGAGTCTCACTCCTCCTGCACCCCGCCTGTCTCTTCCATGAGCCTCTCTTTTTCTTGTCTCTGAATTCCTCCAGCACGCAATTTCCAAAGCACAGGCCTCCACACGCCACCAGCCATCCCCACGTGGCTCCCGTACGATTCTTTACTTAATATTTCCCTTTAAATCAACCCACTCTTTTACTTGAACAAATTTATTTTCAAAGGAAACTGTATATCTCCACCATAAATAGAAAAACCATGCCATATGCCACAAATAGAAGGCAGATGAAAAAAAACAAGTTATGCTCTAATACACATGAAAATAAATCATCAGGAAAACATTTTTAAATGCTTGTCCATGTGCCTGACGAGGTAAACCTATATACAGGTTGTAAATGGAACAGCACCTCGAGGGACAAGGGTCCCGAAACGGGCCCCTGCATGTGCGTACAGGCCGTGCTTACATCCTGACAACTTCAACTGCTCCTGACCAAGTCAACTGGCCACGCGGCCTTCCAAAATCTTCAAAAATCCCCTCCTGCTCTAAGACGCGTGGCCTTGGCACTTTATGTTCTGCTTTCTTTGTGGCCCCTGGGTTTTTCGGCCCCATCTCACAGTTATCTGGGGACTTGTCACCAAATGTGAGTATCCCAGGGTAGGGAGCACAGAGCCTGCTGCAGCCCCTGAGCCAGTCTTGCACGCAGCATAACACGCAATACAAACAGCTCTCCAACAGCACGCTCTGGTCTGCTCCGATGCGTGGCCCCCATTCTCTGCCTGACCCCAGGCCCATCTGCTGCTAGCGCACAACCCCTCTGCCCCACTCCCCCAAATCCATCTCTGTCCACTGGGGTGTTTCAAAGGACCACACAGAAAGAGCAACGGAGGCACCAGCGGGGCATGAGGCTGTTCTCCAGCCCCGGCTGCCTCTTCTTTAGAAGCAGCAGGACCTGCGGCACGAGGCTGTTCTCCAGCCCCGGCTGCCTCTTCTTTAGAAGCAGCAGGACCTGGGGCAGCCTGGAAAAGCAAGTTTCCAGTCAACGATTAACCAGACGCTCTCCCAGCAAAGACACAAACCTTTTCCCCGGAAGTTAGCAAAGTTCTGTGAAAACCCCTGCATGAACTGGGCCCCTGACTCCAGGAAAACAGAGGCATCTTCCAATGTCCTTGGAGCCATGAGACCCCGAAACACCTACCGGGAACAGAGGGGCTTCACCCAGACAGGCCCCACCAGGGAGGAGGAGGCCGCTCTCCCTCCCACCACCGTTGTCGGGGGTGACCCGAGGTGTTCCAGATGAGGAGCTGAATCACTGGGACTTAAGTCAATAAGTGGCAGCCACCAGGCAGGCCCAGCTGGAGCCAAACCAAGGCCTGGATTCTCCTCGTGGATGTCTGGTAAGGCCCCACCACGTACCCCAGTCACGTAGTCTCTAAAACTGAACAGATTTGGGACGCTTCCTCTTAGAGGGCAGCCCTCTTTGGGACTGTTAGTCTGGCCACTTTTACACATTTCAAGCATTTTTTGGGTTAGAAAGGGCACATTTTCTGTATCCAAAACAGCCCTTACAGGCAGCAGTGGTGGTGCATGGGGCCTGCGTCAGCATCTCATCGCTTCCTGAAGCCCCAGCTGCCTGGAGTGGGGCCCCTTTTGGGTGTGGCTCTTCAGGAGCAAGGCAAATTGACGCACAGAGAACTTGACGGATGTGTAAATGGAACAGCTTCCCGGAGGTACCTCGAGGAGGGCAAGGGTAATGAAATGAATGAAATGAACCCCTGCACAGCGAGGGAGCACTTACACCCTGACACCCTCCTGCAGGGAGAAGGAAGATGACAAGGATCTCTCTGTTGACCTTTTCATAGTGCAAACAAGCTACTGATAGAAAAAAGAAAATGTTTTCATGCTTAAAAAAAAAATAAACACCATCAGCAACCTTTCCCCATGGGGAGCAGCAGCAGGTGCTACCACAAGAGAGACAGACAGATGGATATAACTGCCAAGAGGCTCTCAAACTGGGTTCCAAGGAGCCGGGGTGTGGAGCCCCTCTTCAGGACTGTGCAGGTGAAGCAGGGGGCTGGGAACAAGGGGGTTATTACAGCCCAACAAACTGGGTTCCAAGGAGCCAGGGGTGTGGAGCCCCTCTTCAGGACCGTGCAAGCAGAAGCAGGGGGCTGGGAACAAGGGGGTTATTACAGCCCAACCCAGAGCAACTCAGCTTTTTCCTCGTCATCTGTCAGGCTTCCAGGTAAGATTTCATTTGAAGAAAAGGTCCTGCAGTAAAGATGTTGAGAAGTGCTGATATGCGCTGCTGGTTATATGAAAGGGTGGAAGGAGGACTGGCACGGTGGCTCACTCCTGTAACCCCAGCTACTCCAGAGGCCGAGGCGGGTGGATCACCTAAGGTCAGGAGTTCGAGACCAGCCTGGCCAACATAGTAAAAACCCATCTCTACTGAAAATACAAAAATTAGCCAGGTGTGGTGGCAAATGTCTGTAGCCCCAGCCATTCAGGAGGCTGAGGTGGGAGGGTGGCTGGAGTCTAGGAGTTTGAGGCTGCTGTGAGCCATGATCTAGCCACCGTACTCCAGCCTAGGTGACAGAGTGAGACCTCGCCTTAAAATTTGAAAAATAAAATAAAATTCATGGGTAGGCCAGGCATAGTGGCTCACGCCTGTAACCCTAGCACTTGGGAAGGCTGAGGCTTGGCCAGACATGGTCGTGGGCAACTGTCGTCCCAACTACTCGGGAGGCTGAGGCAGGAGAATCGCTTGAACCCGGAAGGCGGAGCTTGCAGTGAGCCGAGATCGCGCCACTGCACTCCAGCCTGGGCAACAGAGCGAGACTCCGACTCAAAAAAAAAAGAAAGAAAGAAAGAAAGTGTGGAATGTGCTGGAAGCCATCTCTGAGTGTGCGGGACCACACACCACACACATACCAAGGCCTGTGGGAGACCCGCACACCACAGCCCCAGGCCTGCAGGAATCAGCTGGTCTTTGTCCTGCTCATGCACTCCGTGTAGAAGAAATGCAGAAGAGAAGCCTCCTTTGCCAGGGTCCAGCCAGGCCACGCTGCTCTTCCCCTGGCAGGACCACAGGTCGGGAGGACCAAGCTCAGAAACGCAAATGACACCAAATCAAGTGGAGCCTCGAGCCAAGTGAAGCTTCTGGAAAAGAGACTTGAACCCAGCAGGGACAGGGGCTCGATGCAGACGTCAGAGCCAGAGGTGTGGATCCAGAGACCAGAGGCCAAAGAGATGTGATAAACTATGTCAGTGACTGGAGCCGACCCTGGTCAGTCCCTGGGGCAGGCATGGCAGCAAGAGGCTGGTTTCCACATGTGCCCAGAGTTTGCTTCATGGAAAGGCCAGCTCTGCGCAAAGGTCCAGGGGGGACCAGTCACGAAGGTGTGAAGAGGCCTGAGTGTTTGTCTTCCATTCAGCTGAGAAAGGCAGAACGCCGCCACACTGCTGCACAGACGGCACCTTCTACACCTTTACACTCCTCACACTGAGCTCCAGGGTCCGGACAGCTGTGCACCTGCCACCTTTAGCAAAGCGAAGGCCAGGGGCCCCTGCTGGCCTTCTGCAATGGGCATATATTTTGTCTACCCAGCATTCCTTTCCTTTTTGAGAATAACTCTTCAGGTCAAAGTAGTCACGCCCAGTCTTCCTGGGCAAGAGAAACAGCCCCTCCTTCCCCTTCTTCCTGGGTGAATGTGATGAGGATGACCAATTAGAATAGCCCCACCCCCAAGGCAGGGTAATTGGCTCAGGGCTGGGCATGTGACCCAGACCCAGCCATACTGAGTCCTCCTGGGGTCTTGCCAGAGTTCCTGTGCAATAAACCCACTGTCTGGGACGGTAAGCACGGCACTAGCTCACGATGGCCAGTAGCCACCTGGCTCCCCCTTGAAACGGCCTGTCTGCCGGTGCAGCTAAACAGAGCTGAGAGATGAAGGTGAGTCACCTCATACCCATGGTCAATGGCTGGATCCAGCCGTGCCTGAACGACTGTTTTGATCCCCAGGTGCCAGGCCCACAGAGCTGCCTTTTTGCTTATGCTAGTTTGAATTGGGTCCTTGTCATTTGCCATCCAGAGCCCTGAGTAAGTCACCTGCACTGTGTGGGAAGGTGTGACCGTGCACCACACTTACTAACAGTCGTCTTCACAGGCGACCGTGCACCACACACACTAACAGTCGTCTTCACAGGCGACCGCGCACCACACACACTAACAGTCGTCTTCACAGGCGACCGCGCACCACACACACTAACAGTCGTCTTCACAGGCGACCGCGCACCACACACACTAACAGTCGTCTTCACAGGCGACCGCGCACCACACACACTAACAGTCGTCTTCACAGGCGACCGCGCACCACACACACTAACAGTCGTCTTCACAGGCGACCGCGCACCACACACACTAACAGTCGTCTTCACAGGCGACCGCGCACCACACACACTAACAGTCGTCTTCACAGGCGACCGCGCACCACACACACTAACAGTCGTCTTCACAGGCGACCGCGCACCACACACACTAACAGTCGTCTTCACAGGCGACCGCGCACCACACACACTAACAGTCGTCTTCACAGGCGACCGCGCACCACACACACTAACAGTCGTCTTCACAGGCGACCGCGCACCACACACACTAACAGTCGTCTTCACAGGCGACCGCGCACCACACACACTAACAGTCGTCTTCACAGGCGACCGCGCACCACACTGACTAACAGTCGTCTTCACAGGCGACCGCGCACCACACTGACTAACAGTCGTCTTCACAGGCGACCGCGCACCACACTGACTAACAGTCGTCTTCACAGGCGACCGCGCACCACACTGACTAACAGTCGTCTTCACAGGCGACCGCGCACCACACTGACTAACAGTCGTCTTCACAGGCGACCGCGCACCACACTGACAGTCGTCTTCACAGGCGACCGCGCACCACACTGACTAACAGTCGTCTTCACAGGCGACCGCGCACCACACTGACTAACAGTCGTCTTCACAGGCGACCGCGCACCACACTGACTAACAGTCGTCTTCACAGGCGACCGCGCACCACACATACTAACAGTCGTCTTCACAGGCGACCGCGCACCACACATACTAACAGTCGTCTTCACAGGCGACCGCGCACCACACATACTAACAGTCGTCTTCACAGGCGACCGCGCACCACACATACTAACAGTCGTCTTCACAGGCGACCGCGCACCACACATACTAACAGTCGTCTTCACAGGCGACCGCGCACCACACATACTAACAGTCGTCTTCACAGGCGACCGCGCACCACACATACTAACAGTCGTCTTCACAGGCGACCGCGCACCACACATACTAACAGTCGTCTTCACAGGCGACCGCGCACCACACATACTAACAGTCGTCTTCACAGGCGACCGCGCACCACACTTGCTAACAGTCGTCTTCACAGGCGACCGCGCACCACACTTGCTAACAGTCGTCTTCACAGGCGACCGCGCACCACACTTGCTAACAGTCGTCTTCACAGGCGACCGCGCACCACACTTGCTAACAGTCGTCTTCACAGGCGACCGCGCACCACACTTGCTAACAGTCGTCTTCACAGGCGACCGCGCACCACACTTGCTAACAGTCGTCTTCACAGGCGACCGCGCACCACACATACTAACAGTCGTCTTCACGGGCGACCTTGCACCACACTAACAGTCGCCTTCACAAGCGACCGTGCACCACACTTACTAACAGTCGTCTTCACAGGCGACCGTGCACACTTACTAACAGTCGTCTTCACAGGCGACCGCGCACCACACTGACTAACAGTCGTCTTCACAGGCGACCGCGCACCACACATACTAACAGTCGTCTTCACAGGCGACCGCGCACCACACATACTAACAGTCGTCTTCACAGGCGACCGCGCACCACACATACTAACAGTCGTCTTCACAGGCGACCGCGCACCACACATACTAACAGTCGTCTTCACAGGCGACCGCGCACCACACATACTAACAGTCGTCTTCACAGGCGACCGCGCACCACACATACTAACAGTCGTCTTCACAGGCGACCGCGCACCACACTTGCTAACAGTCGTCTTCACAGGCGACCGCGCACCACACTTGCTAACAGTCGTCTTCACAGGCGACCGCGCACCACACTTGCTAACAGTCGTCTTCACAGGCGACCGCGCACCACACTTGCTAACAGTCGTCTTCACAGGCGACCGCGCACCACACTTGCTAACAGTCGTCTTCACAGGCGACCGCGCACCACACTTGCTAACAGTCGTCTTCACAGGCGACCGCGCACCACACATACTAACAGTCGTCTTCACGGGCGACCTTGCACCACACTAACAGTCGCCTTCACAAGCGACCGTGCACCACACTTACTAACAGTCGTCTTCACAGGCGACCGTGCACACTTACTAACAGTCATCTTCACAGGCGACCGCGCACCACAGATACTAACAGTCGTCTTCACAGGCGACCATAGACCACACATACTAACAGTCGTCTTCACAGGCGACCGCGCACCACAGATACTAACAGTCATCTTCACAGGCGACCGTAGACCACACATACTAACAGTCGTCTTCACAGGCGACCACGCACCACACACTAACAGTCGTCTTCACAGGCGACCGCGCACCACACACACTAACGGACGTGCCCGACATCTTCACAGGCACAGCATGAGCCCTGATGTGCGCTTTCTGCTCCTGCTCCTGCTCCTGCCCCTTCGGAGGCCTGTGCCAGTGGCAGCTGGGCCCGGAGACACCAGGCCGGCACTGCTCTCTTTCGAGGCACCCGTGTTTGTGCCGACGCTGACTCCCGGTTGTCTGCAGCAGCCACGTGGCCGAAATGGAGCCTCTCCACGGGGGCTCCTTCCCCAGCCCCTGGATGGCACAGCAGCCTCTCCTGTCTGTCACCACGTGTGACCTGCTCCCTTAGTCTTCAGCCGCTCATCCACGTCTGCAGGGGCATCTAACTCTGTCCCAGGGTATCCCAGACCCTGGCTCACGCCCCAGGCTCTCCATTCAGGCTCCATCGTCCACCTCAGACCATCTCGGGTTTGCTGGTCTTCTGGACTAGCGCAGCCAGAAAGAACCCAGGAAGGAAGCCTCACGTCTGACACAAGAACCTTCGGTGCTAACCCGAGGGCGGTATGTGCATCCTCAGCACCTGCCCATCCGGCACCATCCTCTGATCCAGGGACTGTGAGCAACAGGGCCCCGTGGCCAGGACATCTCTCACCCTCCAGTTAAAATCTCGCCAGTTGAGTCTGCCCATGAAAGTAGGCGCTGAACTGCCCGATAAATCCACAAGTAAGAGTTGCAAGAAGGAGCCAAAAAGGGCTGAGCTGAATGACTCATATATGAAATAATTTGATAATTAATATAAATAGGAAATTTAAAGTCTCCAGCTGAGTGACAGAAAACACCTTAAAAAGCTCAAGAGAGAGGAAAGGAAGAAAATAAACCTATAATTGCAAAATAAAAGCATTGAAAGAAGCCGTGCTCAAGGTAAGATGCTACAGATGCAATAAATTCATGTTTTAACATTAGCAACGTGTGGGCAACGGTGTTCCCTGGGGAACTGGCTGCATGAAGCCTCTCTGGAGAGCTGGGCCAGGCCAGTGGGAGGGCAGCTGGCACGGCCGGGGCTGGTGCGGGGTCCTGAGGCCAGAGCCTGCCAGAGGGCCGTCCCCAAGGACCAACAGGCACGGGAGAGGCAGAATATAAACGCAGTCAGGGAGTAAAGGCTGTGCATTCTCCCCGGGTATTGCCTCCACCACCCCCGGGCCACACTCGGGCCTGCCCAGTTCCCCTAGCTCTTCTCTTTCCTGCCTTGCCTGCCTAAGGCCCCTCTCCCCCTGCACTCCACTCGTATCTGCTTCTCCGCCTCCTGCCCAGTCAGCCTGCTGTGCAGAGCTCCCGCAGCTGCCTCAGATCCACCCTTCCTGGGTGGCTGCTCCTCCCCGCCACCGCCCTAGGAGCACCCCAAGTAAAATCTGGTTTTTCTCCCCTCCAGGTCTGCCTCTGCCTTTGCTCCTGCTATCCCCAGGGCCCCAGGTGCCCCTCCCTCCACCTCATCCTTCTGGACCCAGCAAATGTCCTCCACCAGGAGGCCTTTCTGGACCTCCTCATCCTCCTGGAAGGAGCCTCTCCCACCCCGAAGTCCTTTAACTATTTACTCGTCCCTCTCCTTCGTACTGAGCTTATGCTGTATTTGTTTATGTGCTTATCTTCTACTGGGCTCATCTCTGTAACCTTTTTATTCTTTTATTCATTCATTCCACAAATACTAATTGAGCACCTACTATGTGCCAGACCCCATGCTAGGACTGGGGACACAATGATGAGCAAGACAGACACTGTCCCTGCCACCCTGGAACTCCCATCTTGGAGAGAAACAACAAAAACAAAACACGAAGCAAATAAACATTAGTAAACACGTCAGGATAAGCGGCGATATAGGCTGGGATAGAAAGGTGTAGGTGATGTGAGAGGCGAGTGTCCGTGCGGACAGAGGAGCTGGGGGAGGAGACTCTGAGGCCAGAGGTGTGAGCGGAGTGAGTCGGGCACGCTTTCCAGACACAAAATCGGTGTTTGCTAAACATGCGTGGAACAAATGAGTGGCTAACAAGCCAGAAATCCCAAGCGCGTGCCCCGTGTCGCTCCAGACACAACTTCCCCACCCTCATCACCCTGTGGGTCACTCCGACTGGCACCCAGACGCGTTTCCCAGCCCACACGCCTGCTACGGGGCCCACCTGTGTCACCCTCGCAGAGGCGCTTACCAGGACTCAAGGGGCTCTCCGCTCAGAACCCCTCATGGCCTCCCTGACACCACCAGCGGCCCTCGGGCTGGACAGCAAGCGGGTTTTGTCTCGCCTGCAGACTCCAGCCCCGGAGCACCACGCATGGAAGCGCAGCGAGGCCGCCCCTGGGCTCGGTGGGAAAGAGCCCTGATCGACTGGTGGCGTCTGCCAGGGGACGGCAGAAGACAGAGAGGCACATTTGCCACGTATTTTCCTTGTCACCCAGGGCTCCGCAAATGACCACTCAGGCAAGAAATCTCCTTCAGGTCTAATTGCCTGGACGAGCATTCAGTATCTGGTGCCCTTTCCTTATGGGCCACGTGAACCACGTCACTGATTTTTTTTTCCTGCTTTGACTGCTCATTAGCTCAGAGCTAAATGTGTGGTTCAAACACAGCAAAGTATATACAGCTCGATGGCCTGAATAGGGGGTCTAACTCTCCCCCTGCTTTCAACCTTCTAGCTAATCTACATCTATGTCTTTCCTGATCTTATTTTTTTGATCTCTATTTAGTTACATGTCCATATACATACACACATATATGTATAGACATATATAAACAGACATACATACATATATAAATATAAAATATCTACATATAGGTCTGGTATGTAATACCTACTTTACTTTTTTTCTATGAATGTATCTTTTAGATATATAGATATATTATGAATATATCTTACTTTAAAAAATAGAGACAGGGTCTCACTATGTTGCCCAGGCTTGGCTGAAACTCCTGGACTGAAGCGATCTGCCTGCCCTGCCCCCCACAAAGTGCTGGGATTACAGGCACGAGCCACCATGCCCAGCCATTAACATGTCTTTTTATATTTATTTTTTATATTTCTTCTCCCTTTTTTTTTTTTCAGAGACAGGGTCTCACTATGTTGCCTACGCTGGTCTTGAACTCCTGGGCTCAGGCAATCCTCTTGCCTCAGCTTCCCAAAGTGCTGGGATTACAGGCACGAGCCACTGCACCCAGCCTTTATATTTCTTATATAAATAAAATATATAGAGAGATATACATATATTCTTGTAAGCACCCTCAATTCATTTATGGAACAAGATAGAGGAATAAATGGATAGATGAATAAATGACAGACAGGAAATACCAACGCAGAATGAGACAACTTTGCTCAAAGAATTCAGAATACAGTTAGCTGCATTCTGTCATGAACAGAGTCTGGAGTTAGAGATCAGAAGCCAGGCTCTCAGTCCCAGCTCGGACCAGCTACATGACTGTGAAGGGAAACAAGTTACACACACACACATCCCCGCAAGTCCTTACCCCGGCCAATCTGAGGCTTTATCAATTATTAAATGTCTATCATCTAATCTGCGCTGCTCACTTCCCCTGGTGGTAACAGAAATTACATGGGAGGTTCCTGACAGCGCCGTCAACACCAGCCTCACGCACGACACTGGCCTCATTATTAGCATTGGAGACAACACTCCAGGCAGCCCGCGTTCAACGATAAATAATAAGACACCAAGCCGCACGGCCTCCTACTAAATGCTGCAGGAATTCAAAGAGAAAGGAGCCCTCAGAACCCACATCTGCATTCAGTGTCCTGCCCCTCTGATGTCTGAGAGCAGCGTCTGACTGAAGGACTTGGATCTCTTGCTTCTCCTAGTAAGAAGCAAGTCCCAGCCAGGATCAGTCGCAAAAACCCTCAGGACTGGAAACGGCTGCCCTGGTATGGAGCAAAGGGCTGGGGCTCTGACAGCCCACAGCAGTCCCCTGACCGCACTGTCCCCTGCAGAAAGGCCAGCACAGCACGCATCACCCGTGGGCCAGGTGAAAGAGGACAGGCCAAGGCTGGAAACCGTGGGGCGCTGGGGCAGGTGACCCCTCCGTGTGCCTCCCACATGACCTCACAGACCTGACCCCTGCGTGTTCCTCCCACATGACCTCACAGACCTGACCCCTCCGTGCGCCTCCCACATGACCTCACAGACCTGACCCCAACGTGTTCCTCCCACATGACCTCACAGACCTGACCCCTGCGTGCGCCTCCCACATGACCTCACAGACCTGACCCCAACGTGTTCCTCCCACATGACCTCACAGACCTGACCCCTGCGTGTTCCTCCCACATGACCTCACAGACCTGACCCCAGCGTGTTCCTCCCACATGACCTCACAGACCTGACCCCTGCGTGTGCCTCCCACATGACCTCACAGACCTGACCCCTGCGTGTGCCTCCCACATGACCTCACAGACCTGACCCCTGCGTGTGCCTCCCACATGACCTCACAGACCTGACCCCTGCGTGTTCCTCCCACATGACCTCACAGACCTGACCCCTGCGTGTGCCTCCCACATGACCTCACAGACCTGACCCCTGCGTGTGCCTCCCACATGACCTCACAGACCTGACCCCTGCGTGTGCCTCCCACATGACCTCACAGACCTGACCCCTGCGTGTGCCTCCCACATGACCTCACAGACCTGACCCCTGCGTGTGCCTCCCACATGACCTCACAGACCTGACCCCTGCGTGTGCCTCCCACATGACCTCACAGACCTGACCCCTGCGTGTGCCTCCCACATGACCTCGCAGACCTGACCCCTGCGTGTGCCTCCCACATGACCTCACAGACCTGACCCCTGCGTGTGCCTCCCACATGACCTCACAGACCTGACCCCTGCGTGTTCCTCCCACATGACCTCGCAGACCTGACCCCTGCGTGTGCCTCCCACATGACCTCGCAGACCTGACCCCTGCGTGTGCCTCCCACATGACCTCGCAGACCTGACCCCTGCGTGTGCCTCCCACATGACCTCACAGACCTGACCCCTGCGTGTGCCTCCCACATGACCTCACAGACATCTCCTGTCCCCCATCACAGGCCCATGTACAGTCACCAGGGTTTCCAGGCACCTGAATCCGCACCACTGGGTTTTAAATCACAGGAGAAAGTGAGTCAATGACAATAACAAGAATCCTTTTCAGCAAGTTTGTCAGGCGGCATGGACCGTCCTTTCTTTTCTGGGGGAAGTGACGGAATTCACAAAGCTAGTAAGATTAACACTAAATTCTGGAATGTTCCCTGCCCAGTCAAGTGCTGAAATTGAAGGCAAAAAAAAGGAGGGGTGATACACAGTCGAAGGGCTGAGTTTGCCAATCAGTTCAAGTTGAGAGGTGACAGCGTGCTGGCAGTCCTCAGAGCCCTCGCTTGCTCTCGGCACCTCCCCTGCCTGGGCTCCCACTTTGGTGACACTTGAGGAGCCCTTCGGCCCTCCGCTGCACTGTGGGAGCCCCTTTCTGGGCTGGCCAAGGCTGGAGCCCACTCCCTCAGCTTGCAGGGAGGTGTGGAGGGAGAGGCACCAGTGGGAACCGGGGCTGTGTGCGGCGCTTGCGGGCCAGCTGGAGTTCCGGGTGGGCGTGGGCTTGGCGGGCCCCGCACTCGGAGCAGCGAGTCAGCCCTGCTGGCCCCGGACAATGGGGAACTTAGCACCCGGGCCAGCGGCTGCAGAGGGTGTACTGAGTCCCCCAGCAGTGCCGGCTCACCGGCCTGCCCGACGAGCGCCGCCCCCTGCTCCACGGCACCCAGTCCCAACGACCACCCAAGGGCTGAGGAATGCGAGTGCACGGCGCAGGACTGGCAGGCAGCTCCACCTGCAGCCCCGGTGCGGGATCCACTAGGTGAAGCCAGCTGGGCTCCTCAGTCTGGTGGGGAGGTGGAGAGTCTTTATGTCTAGCTCAAGGTTTGTAAACACACCAATCAGCACCCTGTGTTTAGCTCAAGGTTTGTGAATGCACCAATCGACACTCTGTATCTAGCTGCTCTGGTGGGGCCTTGGAGAACCTGTGTGTGGAAACTCTGTATCTAACTAATCTGATGGGGAGTGGAGAACCTTTGTATCTAGCTCAGGGATTGTAAACGCACCAATCAGCACCCTGACAAAACAGGCCGCTTGGCTCTACCAATCAGCAGGATGTAGGTGGGGCCAGATAAGAGAATAAAAGCAGGCTGTCCGAGCCAGCATTGGCAACCAGCTCCGGTCCCCTTCCACACTGTGGAGGCTTTGTTCTTTCACTCTTTGCAATAAGTCTTGCTACTGCTCACTCTTTGGGTCCACGCTGCTTTTATGAGCTGTAACACTCACCGCGAAGATCTGCAGCTTCACTCCTGAGCCCAGCGAGACCACGAACCCACCAGAGGGAAGAAACTCCGAACACATCTGAACATCAGAAGGGACAGACTCCAGACGCGCCACCTGAAGAGCTGTAACACTCACCGCGAGGGTCTGCGGCTTCATTCTTGAAGTCAGTGAGACCAAGAACCCACCAATTCCGGACACAAAGTGACCAAATAGGGTCTCATGTGGTTTATTCCTAGAGGCCGACGGATCCCAGGCAGCAGGTTATCCGAAGAAAATGGGAGGGGACTTTGAATACAGGTAACCTCGCCACACATCAACGATGTCCCTTCCCCTCCATAGCTGACCTCGCCAGCCATCAACGACCTTCCTTCCCTCCCTGGCCTTCCTGTAGCTGTCCAGCCACCTTCAGGGGTGGGCTCCGGAGGCCCTGAGTTTACACTGCGGCCAGTCCCCTGGGGCACAGCTGGCTCTTCCAGGGGAGCACCTAAGCCAAACTGGCACATCAAGGTCCCTCCCTTAAGAATCCGGGAAATAAGGCTGGGCGCGGTGGCTCACTCCTGTAATCACAACACTGCGGGAGGCCGAGGAAGGAGGATTGCTTAGAGGTCAGGAGTTCGAGATCAGCCTGGGCAACATAGTCAAACCCCATTTCTACAAAAAAATAAACATAGGTCAGGCATGGTGGCTCACGCCTGTAATCCCAGTGATTTGGGAGGCTGAGGTGAGAGGATCGTTTGAGTCCGGGAGTTTGGGGCTGCAGCGAGCTACGATCATACCACTGCACTCCAGCCTGCGCAACAGAGCGAGACTCTTTCTTGAAAAATTTAAAAAATAAATTAAATTTTAAAAAAGTAAGGCCAGGAGTAGTGGCCCACACCTGTAATCCTAGCACTTTGGCAGGCTGAGATAGGATCACTTGAGCTCAGGACTTCAAGACGAGCCTGGGCAACACAGTGAGACACAGTAGAGCCTTGTCTACTAAAAATTTAAAAAAACAGCCGGGGCCGGGCGCGGTGGCTCACGCCTGTAATCCCAGCACTTTGGGAGGCCGAGGCGGGTAGATCATGAGGTCAGGAGATCGAGACCATCCTGGCTAACAAGGTGAAACCCCGTCTCTACTAAAAATACAAAAAATTAGCCGGGCGCGGTGGCGGGCGCCTGTAGTCCCAGCTACTCAGGAGGCTGAGGCAGGAGAATGGCGTGAACCCGGGAAGCGGAGCTTGCAGTGAGCCGAGATTGCGCCACTGCAGTCCGCAGTCCGGCCTGGGCGACAGAGCGAGACTCCGTCTCAAAAAAAAAAAAAAACAGCCGGATGTGGTGGTGTGTGGCCGGGTGTGGTGGCGTGTGGCCGGGCGTGGTGGCATGTGGCCAGGCGTGGTGGCATGTGGCCGGGCGTGGTGGCATGTGGCCGGGCGTGGTGGCGTGTGGCCGGGTGTGGTGGCGTGTAGCCAGGTTTGGTGGTGTGTAGCCGGGTATGGTGGTGCACACATGTGGTCCTAGCTACTCTGGAGACTGAAGCAGGAGAATCACTTTAGCCTGGGAGGTCGAAGCTGCAATGAGTCTCATTCATAGATAGATAGATGGATGGATGGATGGACGGACGGACAGATAGATATACACAGGGATATATACATAGAGTTTCATAGATAGATGACAGATAGACAGACAAAAAGCAAAAAGAATCTGGGAAATGGGGTAAGAGACGGAGTCTCAACTCAACTGCCTTTTGCAGTAAGATGCACACTGAGGCTGAGGCCATTTTCCCCTCATGGAAATGTCCAGTTGACAGAAACGGAAAGGTGGCCTGCAGTGAGACCGAGAAGAGGGGAGCCAACATGGAGCTGAAGCAGGACAGAGAGAGGGGCCCCTCCCTCTAGCATTTGTGCTCCATTCAGCCCCTCCAGGGGCCTGAGCGTTGAAATCTTCCTCTGCTTCTATGAGATACTCCAGGGCCTTGGCAGTAAAGTTCCCTTTTTGTCCAGCCTCTGCTGTTTGCAACCAGCCCCAGTGAGCCGCAAGTCCTAGCTGGCCTGATTAATATCATGTCCACTTTCCCACCACCCTTCCATCCAGCAAAACCACCTCACGCCACGCTGAGCTGACTGAGAATACCTGGGAGTATTCAAATCAGTGGCCGGGGGAGAACAAAGGTTTCGGTGGCAGAGGGACCCAGGTCCGGGTCCATCTAGCACAGTGACCTTGAATAAACCTCCCGAAGCGTAATCTCCTCCATCTGGGCTGCTGCCGATACCTCCTCAAATCCACTCCCGGCCCTCCCTGGTCTCTTCTCCTCACTATCCCCACAGTGAGCTCCCCAAAATGTCAGCCCTTGCCAGGTAACGCGCATTTAAAAAAGAAATAAATAAAAATAAAAAACAAAGCATCAGCCCTGTCACGGAACTGCCAGCCTGAAACTGCCCCAGTGGCTTCCTACTGTTCTGATGATACAAGCGAAATCCTTCCCCCAGGGGCCTGAGGTTTCCTTTCCACGCCGCGCGCTTTCCCCTGGGGGCCAGGAACCCTGATTCTTCTGCCTGGGAAATGCTTCCCCCAACTCTTTCCCCACAACCCCTTTTGCCTAATTAACTCTTTAAAATTCATTTTGTCAACATCATTATTGAGATAGAATTCACAAACCACAAAATGTACCTTTTCAAAGTTTACAATTCGGTGGTTTTTTGGTACAGTCACAGGGTTGTGCCACCATTACCGCTACCTAATTCTAGAACATTTTCATCACTCCACAAAGAAACCCATCAGCAGCCGGGCACAGTGGCTCACGCCTGTAATCCCAGCACTTCAGGAGGCCGAGGCGGAAGGATCACCTGAGGTCAGGAGTTCGAGACCAGCCTGGCCAATATGGTGAAACCCTGTCTCTACTAAAAGTACAAAAAATTAGCCAGGCACGGTGGCGGTCACCTGTAATCCCAGCTACTCGGGAGGCTGAGGCAGGAGAAAGGCGTGAACCCGGGAGGTGGAGCTTGCAGTGAGCCGAGATTGCGCCACTGCGCTCAGCCTGGGTGACAGAGCGAGATGCCATCTCAAAAAAAGAAAGAAAGAAGCCCATTAGCAGCCACTCCCTCCCATTCCTCCCTTCTCCACAGTCCCCAGAAGTCACGAATCTGCTTTCTGTCTTATTAATTTGCATAATCTGGACATTTCATATAAACAGAATCATATAATAAGTGGTATTTTTATTCACGATTTCATTTTTCAGCTCTAATCTCTATTATTTCTTTCCTTTTGCTTGCTTTGGGTTTAGTTTGCTGTTCTTTTTCTAGTTTCTTAAGGTGGAAGATTATTTATTTGAAGTTTTTCTTCTTTTTTAACATAGGTTCTCACAGCTATACATTTTATAGGTTTTGATAGGTTATATTTTCATTTTCATTCATCTCAACCTACTTTCTAATTTCTCTGTGATTTCTTCTTCTTCTTTTTAGAGACAGGGTCTTGCTATATTGTCCAGGCTGGTCTCAAACTCCCGGACTCAAGCAGCCCTCCTACCTTGGCCTCCCAAAGTGCTGGGATTGCAGGTGTGAGCCACCACGCCCAGCCAACCCATTGGTTATTTAGGAGTGTGTTCACTTTGGACATTTGTGAATTCCCAAATTTCCTTTATTGATATCTAACTTCATTCTACTACAGTTAGAGAACGTACTTTGTATGACTTGAATCCTTTTAAATTTATTAAGGCCAGGTGCGGTGGTTCATGCCTGTAATCCTAACACTTTGAGAGGCCGAGGCAGGCGGATCGCTTGAGGCCAGGAGTTTGAGACCAGCCTGGCCAACATAGCAAAACCCCATCTCCTCCAAAAATACAAAACTTAGCTGAGCCTGGTGGTGCAAACCTGTAATCCCAGCTACTCAGGAGGCTGAGGCATGAGAATCACTTGCACCCAGGAGGCGGAGGTTGCCAAGATTGCACCGCTGCACTCCAGTCTGGGTAACAGAGAGAGACTTCATCTTAACAAAAATCAGTCAGGCGTGAAGGCACGTATCTGCCGTCTCAGCTACTTCTGGGAACTGAGGTGGGGGACTACCAGAGCCTGGGGGGTTGAGGCTGCAGTGAGCCGTGATCATGCCACTGCACTCCAGCCTGGGAAACAGAGCAAGACCAGAAAAATTACCGAGTCTTGTTTTACGGCCTAACATATGGCCTCTCCCAGAGAACACCTCCCGGGCACGTGAGAAGAACGTGCGTCCTGTGGTTGCTGGGTGGCGTGTTCTGCAGATGTCTGTCCTGCCGGGCACGTGAGAAGAACGTGCATCCTGCAGTTGCTGGGTGGAGAGTTCTGCAGATGTCTGTCCTCCCGGGCACTTGAGAAGAACGTGCATCCTGCGGTTGCTGGGTGGAGAGTTCTGCA
The DNA here is from genome assembly GCF_000001405.40 of Homo sapiens. Classification (NCBI taxonomy): domain Eukaryota; kingdom Metazoa; phylum Chordata; class Mammalia; order Primates; family Hominidae; genus Homo; species Homo sapiens. The sequence continues at coordinate 340,263 of NW_003315952.3, forward strand.
GATGTCTGTCCTCCCAGGCACTTGAGAAGAACGTGCATGCTGTGGTTGCTGGGTGGAGAGTTCTGCAGATGTCTGTCCTCCCAGGCACTTGAGAAGAACGTGCATGCTGTGGTTGCTGGGTGGAGAGTTCTGCAGATGTCTGTCCTCCCAGGCATGTGAGAAGAACGTGCATCCTGCAGCTGCTGGGTGGCATGTTCTGCAGGTGTCTGTCCTCCCAGGCATGTGAGAAGAACGTGAATGCTGCGGTTGCTGGGTGGAGAGTTCTGCAGATATCTGTCCTCCCGGGCACGTGAAAAGAACCTGCATCCTGCGATTGCTGGGTGGCGTGTTCTGCAGATGCCTGTCCTCCCGGGCACGTGAGAAGAACGTGCGTCCTGCGGTTGCTGGGTGGAGAGTTCTGCAGATGTCTGTCCTCCCGGGCACGTGAAAAGAACCTGCATCCTGCGATTGCTGGGTGGCATGTTCTGCAGATGCCTGTCCTCCCGGGCACGTGAGAAGAACGTGCGTCCTGCGGTTGCTGGGTGGAGAGTTCTGCAGATGTCTGTCCTCCCGGGCATGTGAGAATGTGCATGCTGCGGTTGCTGGGTGGAGAGTTCTGCAGATGTCTGTCTTCCCGGGCACGTGAAAAGAACCTGCATCCTGCGATTGCTGGGTGGCGTGTTCTGCAGATGTCTGTCCTCCCAGGCACATGAAAAGAACGTGCATCCTGCGGTTGCTGGGTGGCGTGTTCTGCAGATGCCTGTCCTCCCGGGCACGTGAGAAGAACCTGCATCCTGCGGTTGCTGGGTGGAGAGTTCTGCAGATGTCTGTTAGGTCCAGTTGATTTACAGTGTTTTCAAGTCTATCTCATTGTTGGTTCTCTGCCTACTCATTCTATCCATTATTGAAAGTGGGACCTTGAAGCTTCCAACGATTATTGTTGGATTTTGTATTTCTCCCTTCATTTCTGTTGGTTTTGGTTCATGTATTTTGGGGGTCTCTTGTTAGGTGCATACAGCTTTATAATTATTAGGCTTTCCTGATAGGTTGACTCCTTTGTCATTATAAAATGTCCCTGTTTGTCCCTAGTAACAATTTTTGCCTTAAAGCCTATTTTGTCTGCTACTTGTGGAGCCACTTCACCACTCTTTCGGTTACTGCTTGAACGGAATATCTTTTTCTGTCCTTTTACTTTACACACATTTGTGTCTTTGAATCTAAAGTGTGTCTCTTGTAAATCCGTTCTGCCATGCTCTTTTTATTGGAGAATTTAGTTCATTTGTATTTAATGTAATTACAGATAAGATAGGATTTATGCCATTTTGCTAGTTGCTTTCCATATGTCTTGTCTTTTTATTCCTATATTTTCCCATTTCTGCCTTCTTTTGTGTTGAATACGTATTTTCTAGCATAACCCTTAATGCTCCTCTTCCATTTTTTAAAGTTATTTTCTTAATGGTTGCCTTGGAGACTACAATTAACATTTTAATTTAAAACAATCTAACCTGGACTAATACTGACCTAATTGCAATAGTACACAAAACCTTTGCTCCAACATCGCTCTGTCCCCTCCACTCCTTTGTGCTATTATTGTTATACAAATTATATCTTGGTGCATTATAAGCCCATCAACAAAGTTTTAACAAGCATTGCTTTCCGCAGTTATCTTTTCAATCAGACAGAAGAATTACTAGCAGAATATACTCACCCCTTTAGATGCTCCTTGTATCGTCATATGGATTTCAGTCACCGCCTAGTGCCCTTTCATGTCGGCCTGAAGGATTCTCTTTAGGATTTCTTATAGGCCATGCCTGCCAGTGACAAATTCTCTCTGTTTTTATTATATTAATCTAGGATGTCTTAATTTCTCCTTTTTTTTTTTTGAGACGCAGTCTCGCTCTGTCGCCCAGGCTGGAGTGCAGTGGTGCGATCTCGGCTCACTGCAAGCTCCGCCTCCTGGGTTCACACGATTCTCCTGCCTCAGCCTCCTGAGCAGCTGGGACTACAGGCGCCCGCCACCACACCCGGCTAATTTTTTTTTGTATTTTTAGTAGAGACGGGGTTTCACCATGTTTGCCAGGATGGTCTTGATCTCCTGACCTCGTGATCCCCCGGCCTGGGCCTCCCAAAGTGCTGGGATTACAGGCATGAGCCACCACACCCGGCCTCTTTTGAAGGATAGTTTTTTGTGGATATAGAATTCTTTAAAGAATTTTTTAAATTCTTTCAGCACTTTGGCTGTGCCACCCACTGCCTCCTGCTTTCCAGGGCTTCAGATGAGAAGTCAGCTGTGCTATTAATCTTCATGAGTGTTCCCTGCCTCATTAACACTCACCTTCAATTCTGAATTCAACCGTATCTTCCTCCCTGGCCCAGGCCAGGCCCTTTGATACCGGCACCTCGTTCCTCCATAATTCCCCTTTGTAGTGATTATCACAGTTGTAATTAAACAATTAATGATGGACAGAGCTCTTTCCTGTATTTTCCCATCACTAGAATGTAAGTTCCATAAGGCAAGAAGAACCAGGCCTGCCTTGTTCACCATTCTGTTGCCCGAAGCTGCTCAACGCCTGGCACACTATGAACTCTCAATAAATATTTACTGAGCGAACGACTGACACTCATCCTAGAGTAGGCTACATGACTGGTCTCAGCTTCTCACTCCCTGCAGTGGTGTAAACAGCCACACCATGCCAGGGCCTACAAGTAGGCAGTGTACATCCCTGCCCTGTGTTGAGGTTGGCTGTGAGCCTTGTGTTAGCTAATGGGATGTTAGTGAATATGATGTGAAAAAAGGCTGGAAATGTACATGTACGATTGAGCTGGTCCTCACTGTGCTCCTCCTGTCACCATGAGACAGAACAGGCCTTGGGTGGTCTCTGTGCTCCTCCCGTCACCATGAGACAGAACAGGCCTTGGGTGGTCTCTTGTGCTCCTCCCGTCACCATGAGACAGAACAGGCCTTGGGTGGTCTCTTGTGCTCCTCCCGTCACCATGAGACAGAACAGGCCTTGGGTGGTCTCTTGTGCTCCTCCCGTCACCATGAGACAGAACAGGCCTTGGGTGGTCTCTTGTGCTCCTCCTGTCACCATGAGACAGAACAGGCCTTGGGTGGTCTCTTGTGCTCCTCCCGTCACCATGAGACAGAACAGGCCTTGGGTGGTCTCTTGTGCTCCTCCTGTCACCATGAGACAGAACAGGCCTTGGGTGGTCTCTTGTGCTCCTCCTATCACCATGAGACAGAACAGGCCTTGGGTGGTCTCTTGTGCTCCTCCTATCACCATGAGACAGAACAGGCCTTGGGTGGTCTCTGTGCTCCTCCTGTCACCATGAGACAGAACAGGCCTTGGGTGGTCTCTGGTCCAAATGGGATCAGAGACACATGGAACAGACCTAAACCCACTTGGAGCTTGAAGTCAGCCAAGTCCTCCTGCGGGCAGCCTAGGTCAGCCAAACCTCACCCAACTCCGAGCTACGTGAGAGGGAAATAAATGCTCACTGTCATATGCCAGTGGGTTTGGGGCAGCTTGTTGCATCCCAATATGGTGGCAATCGATGGCTAAGACATATGCCCCTGTGAGTCTGAAGGCTGGGAGTGAGTGCTGGCGAAGGTCTTCATGTGGCCCACAATTGGGTCCAGATGAGTTCCATAGGCAGATCCACCAGCCTCCTCTGTACTTACAGAATAAAGTTCCCAGAATCCTACAGTCCCGCAACTCATCTCTGGTGCCAGCAGCTCCTGGAGTAGCCCAGAGTGTACTAAGCGCGGAGTACCATGCCAGGCACACAGTAGGCGCTTTGCTGAGTTAGGCTTTGTCCTTCTCCACCTTCCCCCTCACCAATTCCACCACTGGGCCTGAGTTCATCTGCACAGATGAAAATCTGCAGTTCTTCCTCCGTTGTGGGGCTGGACTGGCGGGGGCAGGGGGAGGCACCCTCACCTGTCCCAGGAGCTAACCCTGCTTACTGCCTCAATGACACCCAGACTCAAGTGACGAGGCGAGCCTGGGCCCTGGACACCAGGTCTGTGCAAAGTGAGGTCACCCCGCAGGTGAGTCCTGGCTGCCCCCTTGGCCTGTCCTTTCTACTCTGACTTGGAGCATGACCCTGATGGAAATTTTCAGTTCCGTAAAGGAAATTTTGATTCGATATAGGGCCTTTTTACTCCCAAGTTTCCCCCTTTGCTAAATTAGTTCCCAATCCCTCTGCCAAGGGTGACTCTGTTCACCCTCTGATGCTGAAACCTGAAGAGGGGTTTGTGAGGAGTCTGAGGCCAGCCCAGCCCTCACGGTGCTTCTGTGCAGGATCAGAAGAGGTGCCCCTCATGGCGGCACTTGTCTTCCACCTGGTTAAAAAGCACCATAATAAACCAATAATGTTAATTCCATTCATTAGAAAGTTACCAACAAACCACACAAAAAGCTCCTTCTAGGCAGACCCACCACATCCAGAACTACCTGCAGCTCTCGCCGAGCAAGACGCTCAAAGCAGTTACCTCCTCAGCAGTATCCCCACGATAGACCGCTGTGGTCTGAATGTTTGCGACCCGCGAAAGCTCCCGTATTGAAACCCTAACACCCCAAGGCATGAGGAGGCGGGGCCTTTAGGAGGTGATTAGGTCGTATGGGCAAGGTCCTCATAAATGGGATTAGTGTTCTTGTAAAAGGGGCTTTTCTACCCCTTAAGATTAAGGTGTTATAAAACCCAAAGGGAGGGACTCAAACCACTGTTGCCAAATGATGACTGAGACAGTGTTAGATCTAACTTGACCGACTCCGTCTTGCTCCTAACCTCCAAGCTGCCCTTGTTCATTCCTGGGCGTAGGCTGAACTAACTTTAGGAGAAACTTAGTTTATAGTTTATAGTTTAAACAAAGACGGTAACAGCCCTTTCCCAAAGCAGACCTCCTTCTTCCCCGGGGACTAGTCTGCCTTTGTAGGACTAACTTTAGCCCCAAGATTAGAAATTATGGTTTAGCAGTCATGCAGCTGGAGGCTACAAGATTCTGACCCTCCCTAGCTGCTCCTAAGATCAGCGCTTGAGATATTTTGGAAACCCTGCACTTGATGGATCAGCTGGCACCACCCAGATCAATAAACTGGCTCATCTGATCTTGAGGTCCCCACCCAGGAACTGACCGAGCACAAGAAGACAGCTTTGACTTGCTGTGATTTCATCTCTGACCAATCAGCACTCCTGGCTCACTGGCTTCCCCCACCCACCACGTTATCCTTAAAAGCTCTGATCCCTGCATGCTCGGGGAGACTGATTGGAGTAATAATAAAACTCCGGTCTCCCACAAAAAAATAAATAAACAAAAGAGGCTTTTAAGGAAGCCCGTTGGCCCCTCCTGCCATGTGAGGACACAGAAAGAAAGCACCATCTATGAACCAGGAAATGGGCCCTGAGCAGACACAGAATCTGCCCACACCTTGATCTTGAACTTCCCAGCTTCCAAACCGTCAGAAATAAATGTCTGTTGTCTATAAGCCACCCGGATGATGATATTTTCATACAGCAGTCTGAATGGGCTAAGAGACTTCATAGCAAAGAACCATGTCTTGTTTCTGCTCAGCTCACGTCGGAAGTAGAAGGTCATAACAAGCCAGATGGTGTGAGAAAGGTCTTCATGTCCAGATGGGCATCACTGGACCCCGAGAAGTGGTTTCTGCAAATGAGGGAAGCCCCCAGCAGGATTGGAAGTGGCAGGTAAAGAAAGGTCACTGCAGGAATCAGCTCTCAAAACAGGCGGTGGTGGTGGGGAGGGGAGGGGCGAACGCTGGGAAAATACAGGCAACTGAGCGGCTGCTTCGAGACCCAGCCTGGACGGATTTGGGGTTAGAGATAGTTTCACATTCATCTGTGAACCTCACCCATGGCACCTTCTCCTTAATCAGATGCTCCCCAGACCCTGACATTAACAAGGACATGAGCTGTCAGAATTCAGAGACCGGTTGAAATTGGGCCATTTCTTATCACTAATCTGTGTGATTGGATGACATTGAAAAAAGAAACCAGAAGAGAATTCATTTCCTTTTTCATTTTTAAACGAGGCCCCACTTAGAGCAGAAGAGTTTAGGTGTTGGGCCTTCTTAAGCAAACAGTCCTCAAGGGATGGTCTGCACCAAACACCCCCTCACCTAATCCCTGACACTCTACATCAAGGAGCAAGAGGAATGAACCTGGTTTCCAAAAATTAAGTCCAGAAAAGAACATGCATTCCTACATCTCACCTTCTAAATTAAGCCAGTGTTCTCCATTAACGTCCCACTGGGGACTGAGAGAAAATTGTTTCAAAACTGGGAACTAAATTTAAAGTTAGGAAGAAAAAAAAAATAACACTTTACGAGTCCCAAATGTTTGAAGTAGTTTGTTACAAACTTTCAAGTCAGATCTAAAGTGACTGCCTGTTTGAGAGTTCACATTGTCAGCCCAGGAATCCAACTGTCCAAATGGGGTCATGTACAAACTCAGGGATTGGTTAAAGGTCAATTACACCCTCAGTTTTAGCAATACAAGGGGTATACTCCACTAAAGTTTTGGTTCTCGTAGTTGGCTGCGCACACTGTATCCACTGGGGTTGTAAGCAACAGAAATCAAGTCTGCACGACTTAAGCAGAAAGGAATGTACTGGCAGAATACCTTGGGGATACCTCGTAGCTCAGAACCAATCAGAAGGCTGAAGACCCTGATGGAAACTGCAACAGTCTAAGGCCTTCAAGTCCCATCACCTTCCACTATGGAAGTAGTGGCTCCAAAATCCTTTCTCCCCTTGCTTCACTCTGCCAAGTTTCAGATCCCGGAGTGGACAGCCCAGCAAAGTAGCCTGGCGTGGGCCCAGGTCCCATCCCTTGAGCTGGGTGATGACTACATGGGGTGTGTCCACCTTGTGAAAATGCAGAATACTTCTGATGCATGCAGTTTTCTGAAGAGATGCTACGCTTCCTTTTTTTTTTTTCCTTTTGAGACAGGGTTTTGCTCTGTCACCCAAGCTGAAGTGCAGTGGGACAAGGGTCACTGTAGCCTTGACCTCCCACCTCAGCCTCCCAAGTAGCTGGGACTACATGTGCATGCTACCACACCTGGCTAATTTTTCTATTTTTTTAGAGATGGGTTTTTGCCATGCTGCCCAGGCTAGTCTCAAACTCCTGGGCTCAAGCAATCCACCCACCTCAGCCTCCCAAAGTGCTGGGATTACAGGCGTGAGCCACCATGCCAGGCACTATGCTTCAATTTTTTAAGAAAAAACGTTCACCTATCCCATGACCGAGCAATTCCACTCTTAGGAAAAGTAAAACAGGTAAGAGGGCCAGGTGCAATGGCTCACACCTGTAATCCCCAGCACTTTGGGAGGCGAGGCGGGCGGATCACAAGGTCAGGAGATTGAGACCATCCTGGCTAACACAGTGAAACCCCATCTCTACTAAAAATATAAAAAATTAGCTGGGTGTGGTGGCGGGTGCCTGTAATCCCAGCTACTCGGGAGGCTGAGGCAGGAGAATGGCGTGAACCCGGGAGGTAGAGTTTGCAGTGAGCCAAGATCGCGCCACTGCACTCCAGCCTGGGCAACAGAGCGAGACTCCGTATCAAAAAACAAACAAACAAACAAAAAAAACAGGTAAGAGAAACAAAGTATATGACGGGAATGAAAAACAAGGTCAACATGAATACTTATGGCCACTCCATTGATAATAGCCAAAAATGAACACAGCCCAGAGGTCCATCACCAGGTGAATAGATAAGCAACTTATACATACTCATAGCAAGGAATACTGCTGACCAAAAGGAAGCAACTACCGACCCAAACAACAACTGGGGTGAATCTCAACAACGTCATGCCAAATGAGAGCGAGAGACGCCTTTCACAAAAGAACACACGTTGTATGATCCCATTTACATGAAGTTCCAGTACAGGTAAAATTAACCTATGGTAGCTGGGTGCAGTGGCTCATGCCTGTAATCCCAGCACTTTGAGAGGCTGAGGCTGGAAGATCACCTGGGGTCAGGAGTTCAAGACCAGCCTGGCCAACATGGTGAAACCCAGTCTCTACTAAAAATAGAAAAATCAGCTGGGTGTGGTGGCACACGCCTGTAATCCCAGCTACTCGGGAGGCTGAGGCGGGAGAATCACTTGAACCCAGGAGGCGGAGGTTGTAGTGAGCAGAGATCGCACCATTGCACTCCAGCCTGGGCAACAAGAGTAAAGCTCTGTCTCAAAAAAAAAAAAAAAAAAAATTAATCTCTGGTGAAAAAACTCCAAAGAGTGGCTGACTGCAGGGGGAGTGGGACAGGGATTGACGGGGACGGGGTGTGAGAGTGACTGACTGCAGGGGGAGTGGGACAGGGATTGACGGGGATGGGGTGTGAGAGTGGCTGACTGCGGGGGGAGTGGGACAGGGATTGACGGGGACGGGGTGTGAGAGTGACTGACTGCAGGGGAAGTGGGACAGGGATTGACGGGGACGGGGCGTGAGAGTGACTGACTGCAGGGGAAGTGGGACAGGGATTGACGGGGACGGGGTGTGAGAGTGGCTGACTGCGGGGGGAGTGGGACAGGGATTGACGGGGACGGGGTGTGAGAGTGACTGACTGCAGGGGAAGTGGGACAGGGATTGACGGGGACGGGGCGTGAGAGTGGCTGACTGCGGGGGGAGTGGGACAGGGATTGACGGGGACGGGGTGTGAGAGAATGCTCTGGGACAGTGGTCACGTTCTCTATTTTGATAGCAGCCTGGGTTGCACAAGCCTGCGTGTTTATCTGAGCTCATCAGATGGAGCAGGTAAGATTTGTGTATTTCGTTGCATGCATGTTTTACCATGGAAGAAAAATACCATAAACAACTACTGAACTTTAGTTCATGGTAAGCTTACTGAAGCATTTGACTATTTTGTTCAAAAGATGCATTAAGATAGATAAAAAGCAAGCCACAAACTGAGAGACATATTTGCAGCATAATAGACATCTGATTAGTACCAGTACGCGGACATACGGAGATCTCCTACAAATCAATAATAATCTAAAAGGGAAAAAATGGGTAAAGAAAAGTGCAGTGTGCAGATGAGCTAATACTTCAAGTCAGTTAGGGAAAGAGAAGGATACCTCAAATCTAGTAACACCAGTTCCTGGACCCGAAAGGCTGAGGGATAAAGGAGGAGGAAGACTCTCACCATTTGCCTTTTTACACCTTTAGAATTTTAAATGACATGATTTTTTTTTTTTTTTGAGACAGAGTCTCGCTCTGTTGCCAATGCTGGGGAGCAGTGGTGCAATCTTGCTCACTGAAACCTCTGCCTCCCAGGCTCAAGCAATTCTCTTGCCTCAGCCTCCAGAGTATCTGGGATGACAGGTGCCAGCCACCACACCCAGCTAATTTTTGTATTTTTAGTAGAGATGGGGTTTAGTAGAGATGGGGATGACCATGTTGGCCAGGCTGGTATTGGACTCCTGACCTCAGGTGATCCACCCGCCTCGGCCTCCCAAAGTGCTGGGATGACAGGCGTAAGCCACTGCACCCGGCCCCTTAAATGACATGCTCATAATGTATCTTCCAAAAATAAATTAAATTTAAGTTTAAAATACAGCTTGTGGGCAAAGAAAGTGAACTGAAATAATAGGTCAACAATTTGGAAAGAAAGAAAATCGAGGTCTTCCCTTCCATCACAAAACAAAATAAATTTTGATTGGATTAGCATTGAAAGTCAAAGAGAGCTGAATGGAAAGGCTGAAACCAAAAAAGAACCTGAAGAAAATATAGAACTGAACATTTATCTGAACTTGGGGTGAGGAAAACGTTTCAAACCCCAAAACAGAGGGTTTTTGAAAAATCATAAGATGAAAAGACTGATGGACTTAATGAAATGCATTAGTCAGTTCAGGCTGCCATGAAATATGCAGACAGGGCGGCTTACACAGCTGGCATTTCTTCTCACAGTCCTGGAGGCTGGGGAGTCCAAGATCAAGGTGCCAGCTGGCTCCGATTATGGCGAGGCCTCTCCTCCTGGCTTGTGGACATGGTGAGGGCCCAGGGGAAGGGAGAGACAGAGACAGAGAGAGTGGGGAGAAGAGGGGGAGAGAGAGAGCAAGAGAGAGAGAGAAGGAGAGAGAAAGAGAGAGGGAGAGAGAGATTGAGAAAAGGAGAGAGAGACAGAGATTGAGAAAGAGAAAGAGAGATTGACAAAGGGAGAGAGAGGCGAGGCGCAGTGTCTCGTGCCTGTAATCCTAGCACTTTGGGAGGCCGAGGTGGGAGGGTTGCCTGAGCCCAGGAGATGGAGACCAGCCTGGGCAACACAGCAAAACCCCATCTCTGTTATAAAACATTTTTTTTCAGTTTAAAAAGAGAGAGAGAGAGAGAGATTGACAAAGAGAGAGGTTGAGAAAGAGAGAGTGGGGAGAGGGGAGGGGGATGGGGAAGGGGAGGGAGAGCGCTCTCCAGCATCTGTGTTTATACGGACACTAACGTATTGCATCAGGGCCCCACCTTTCTGACCTCATTTAACCTTAATTACTTCCTGACTCCACACACAGCTGCACTAGGGGTGAACGCCACAACCCAGGAATACTGGGGAACACAAACGTTCAGTCTGTATTACCACATAAACATTTAAACCTTCTCTATGTTTAAAAATAATCGTAATACTTGGTATGCAACAAGATCTTTAAAAAGAGAAAAATAACCAAAGAAAAATGCCAAAAGGAGGGGAAAAATGTTTGTTACATATGTCAGTCAATATAGAGAAATCAACGCAGGTTACCAAATCATGTCTACAGTATCATCTCCATTTTTAAGCAGTAAACACTGGCTATCTCTGGAGGTTGGGAATCACGGATTTTTATTTTCCTCTTTGTGCTTTCTGCATTTTCTAAATTTTCCACAATGAACATGAATTACTTTTATAATTTAAAAAAAAAGACTTTTTTTTTAAAGAACTCTTATGTGAAAGTCAAGCAACATCCAGGCGGACAGTCCAGTTCTGCACAGACTTTAGGGGATGGCTGGTGAGCCTGGCAGAGCGTGAGCAAGGAGCCGGCACCACAGACCCGGGAGGCCATGGGCTGTATTACCCTATAGACAACAGGAAACCCTGGAGGTGCCCAGAGGAGGAGGGCACAAGAGGGAACGTAAACCAATGAAACTCTTGCCCCATGGAAAAGGGAAGGTGTAGGCTCCAGAGGGACAACAAAGGCAGATTTCAGCTCAAAAGAGGGAAGAATTTCCACCTTCTGAGCTGCCCCTGAATGCAAAGCATTATGCAGTGAAGCTCTCTGTCTCAGTCCACCTAGGACTCAGGGACCAATGGAGCAAAGAATCTCCACTCAGGAAGGGGTTTAGACTAGACATCACTTTTTTTTTTTTTTTTTTTTGAGACAGAGTCTTGCCCTGTCGCCCAGCCTGGAGTGCAGTGGCTCAATCTCAGCTCATGGCAACCTCCACCTCCCGGGTTCAAGTGATTCTCCTGCCTCAGCCTCCCAAGTAGCTAGGATTACAAGCGTGTGTTGCCACACCTGGCTAATTTTTACATGTTTAGTAGAGATGGGGTTTCACCATGTTGCCCAGGCTGGTCTTGAACTCCTAACCTCAGGTGATCTGCCCACCTTGTCATTCATGTTCTTATATAAAGTTCTAATTCCTTTTCAACGTTGCGCAGTAGCCCAAGGTATGAAAATACAAGTCTACGGAGCTGTCTCACCACGAACAAACATTCAGACTGTGTACGATCTTTCACCACCACAGACCGTCACAAAGGCTGTCCCAGAAGTTGTCACCTGTGCACAGGTGCCAGCATTTCTTTAGGGTAGATCCTGAGAAGTAGAATCACTGAATCACTATGTCACAGGGCAGCTGCATTTATTTTAACAGTTCTCACCAAACTGCATCCACCATGATGTTCCTTTCCAAGCCTCGGATCCCAGAGATTTACAGACCCCATCTCTATGATATGTCTCCTTGTCGGCTTCAGCCAGGCATTCATACCTCCCTGGGATACTCCAGGCCTCAGTGCAGCTCTGTGGCTCCTCCTTACTATGAAAACCATCACCCACCCCGAGACAGGCTGCCGACATCATCGGCAGCCTTGGAGCACAGCCCAAATGGTCGCCCATCCGGCTACTGGTGGAGAAGACTCTTGGATGAGGAAGGCAGGCCTCCTAACTCTGAGATGCTGCACCTCTGTCAGTCAGGGGGTACTCCATCACTCCATCCATGAGTGAGAAGGAGGGGCTGGGCAAGAGGAGACTAAATCCTGGCGTCACTCAACGGCTTGGATGGGCCAGAACCAAAGATGAAAATGCACCAACATGTAAATTTAGCCATGAGCACAGCTGGGTGATGGAGACAGGACCGGATCGTCAGTATCCAACACGCAACTGATTAAGTGTCCATGGTAAAATAAGTGCTCTTACACGAGGTGCTAACGACGTAATTGCGGTCTTACATAAGGTGCTCTGGTATTTTCAGCAGCAGATAACTGCCATGTGAATGGAGAAGCCGCCCTCCCAATGAATGCTGCTTACTGTACAGGCTGGCACAGGCCTTGAAATGCCAGTGCTTTGCAGGCAGCCAGCTGCTGTCAGAGGGGTGAGGATGTCTGTGCCCGGGGCTGCAGCTCCGCTCGTGTTCTGCAATTTCTACAGGCTGGCCGGACTCCCCACAGCCAGCTGGGGGTACACACATCACCGTGCTTACACCCCCAAGCATCCCAAAAGCAAGGAAAAGGGCCACTTCAGGGGCTCTCCCAACCCAAGCAGCCACCTTGTAGCTAAGAGAGCTCTCCCCAGACCCAGCAGGGTGGAGGTAGACAGGAAGAAACCAGAGCCAGCCCGGGCTCAGCTGCCTCGTTCCCAGAGCTGACCCCTCCGGAGCCTAGGTGCTCACCCTCATGTCACCTCCCACCTGTCACGAGAAACCCAAGGCTGCAGGTACAGTGAAGTCAAAGTGGCCTCTTGGAATGGTGTGTCTGTATTCACGTCCCGGGTTTAGGATCCCTGCAGCCTTTTTTCCTGTTTCGCTCCATTGTATTAAGTCTAACACATACACAGAGGAGTACACACATGGAACGGGTAAGCGTTGGCATTGATGGAAAGAACGCAGCCCTCTGACTGACACCCCATTAAAGGAACCAGGCAGTACCAGCCTCCCGGAAGCCCTTCTCATCCCTCCCGGAAGCCCTCCTCATGCTTCCCGGAAGCCCTCCTCATCCCTCCCGGAAGCCCTCCTCATGCTTCCCGGAAGCCCTCCTCATCCCTCCCGGAAGCCCTCCTCATCCCTCCCAGAAGCCCTCCTCATCCCTCCCAGAAGCCCTCCTCATCCCTCCCGGAAGCCCCCCTCATGCTTCCCGGAAGCCCCCCTCATCCCTCCCGGAAGCCCTCCTCATCCCTCCCGGAAGCCCCCCTCATGCTTCCCGGAAGCCCCCCTCATCCCTCCCGGAAGCCCTCCTCATCCCTCCCGGAAGCCGTCCTCATCCCTCCCGGAAGCCCCCCTCATCCCTCCCGGAAGCCCTCCTCATCCCTCCCGGAAGCCCTCATCCTTCCTGGAAGCCCTCCTCATGCTTCCCGGATGCCCTCCACATCCCTCCCGGAAGCCCTCCACATCCCTCCCGGAAGCCGTCCTCATCCCTCCCGGAAGCCCCCCTCATGCTTCCCGGAAGCCCCCCCTCATCCCTCCCGGAAGCCCTCCTCATCCCTCCCGGAAGCCCCCCACATCCCTCCCGGAAGCCCTCCTCATCCCTCCCGGAAGCCCTCCTCATGCCTCCCGGAAGCCTCCCCCCACATCCCTCCCGGAAGCCCTCCTCATGCTTCCCGGAAGCCCTCCTCATCCCTCCCGGAAGTCCTCATCCCTCCCGGAAGCCCTCCTCATGCTTCCCGGATGCCCTCCACATCCCTCCCGGAAGCCCTCCACATCCCTCCCGGAAGCCGTCCTCATCCCTCCCGGAAGCCCTCCTCATCCCTCCCGGAAGCCCTCCTCATGCCTCCCGGAAGCCCCCCACATCCCTCCCAGAAGCCCTCCTCATCCCTCCCGGAAGCCCCCCCCCCACATCCCTCCCGGAAGCCCTCCTCATGCTTCCCGGAACCCCTCCTCATCCCTCCCGGAAGCCCCCCTCATGCCTCCCGGAAGCCCCCCACATCCCTCCCGGAAGCCCTCCTCATCCCTCCCGGAAGCCCCCCACATCCCTCCCAGAAGCCCTGCTCATCCCTCCCGGAAGCCCCCCCCCCCACATCCCTCCCGGAAGCCCTCCTCATGCTTCCCGGAAGCCCTCCTCATCCCTCCCGGAAGCCCTCCTCATCCCTCCCGGAAGCCGTCCTCATGCCTCCCGGAAGCCCTCCTCATCGCTCCCAGAAGCCCTCCTCATACCTCCCGGAAACCACGACCCCCACTTCCAACACCGTCCGTGCATTTGGCCCTTTTGGCACTTTATAGACGTGGAATCAGGCAGGACATGCTCCTTTCTGTCTCGTTCCTTTTACTCGACATTGTGTTTGTGTGATTCATCCACGTATGCTGTGTGGTCAGATTGTTCCTTCTCACCACAGTGGGGTGCTCCATTGTCTGCCTTCACCCCAGTTTATGTGTCCATTCTACTGCTGATAAACATTGTAGGATTTCCCTGGGGGGTGGATTTGGCTATTACAAATAGTGCTGCTATGAACATTCTAGTATATGCCTTTTCACTGCAACCCATCCTAAAATATACATCATTGAAAACTACTGCTTTAAGCCTCAAATCTTGGGAAAGCCAATGTGCCCCACCTCTCCAATTTACCCTTTCATTCTTTAAACATGGTCCTTCCACTGTCTACAGAGCACCATGTAAAGGGTATTGGCCATCTCCTTGAAGTCTGGGTAATAAAAAGATGAAAAAAAAATTTTTTAAAGACTATTGGCCAAAGGAGTCAGACTTTCTAGGACTAAAGTTCCCTCCTTGCTGTGTGTCTTTGGACAAACACTCAACCTCTCTGTGCAGCAGTTTTCTTACCTGTAACATGGGAATAGTACTCTAACATCATTTGGCTGAGGTTTAAACAAGGGAGCAGCATCTGCACAAGGTGAGCACTCATCAGTGTTCATAGCAATGATTCCTGCTGAAGGTATCCTGTCTTTCTCAACACCCCTGCAGTACCCTGCTCTGGGCGTCCCCTGCCCGGATATCTGTGAGCAACGTCCTCAAAGAAAAGGAGATCGCAACTGAGGACAAGCAACTCTACCATCTCCAGCTAGAGCTGAGCTCCACCAGCAAGCCCTCCCTTCCACGCCAGATCACTCCTGTCCCTCAGCCTCTCCAGGCATCAGAGATGTGTGGCGGCCGCAGCTACTGTCCTTTCATGCATGAGGCACTGGATGTCACTCAAAATGGGACCTCGACCACAGTGACTTTGCTGGGGTCATTATTAATGGTGTGCCAGCGGCCTGATGACAACCTGCTGGGGCACCCAAAGTACCCAAAAATCACTGCCTGGGAAAAAAATGTTTTTAAATGTTGATGCAAAAGAAGAGTGAACTGGAGTATTTTGTTTTTTTAGATGACAAAGACGGAAGAAATCCCCTCAAAGCATACAGTGCAAGAGGCCCAGGAGCAGGAGATTCCAGCCTTGCAAGACCGGTTGCCATGGTAACCGTGTTTCACAGCAGGAGTTCGTTTTCATATGACAGTGACCTGCACAGAGAAGGGAAGGACGGAAGGACGTCTCCTAAAGAAACTTAGTTGAAGGCTTTCCCATTTGGGGTGAGGGGAGTTAGTTTTGTTTACAAAAAAAGGGCATTTTAAGGTGCCTTAAGAGGCAGAAATGATCCCAGGGCCCTTGCAAGGTTCTCTCTATTCACAACTCTTACTTAAGGCAAGACAGAAAAACACGGCCTGTTTCCAAGGCCTCCTGGGGCTGATGTCATAGCCTCCCTGGATCACTGGTCCCATCATTAACCATCTGTTTGTTACAAAGTCCTTTCCTGGAGTCCAGCAGAGTCCCAAGCAAGCAAGCAACCAACCGAGCCACCAGGAAGTCCTGCACACCTGGGCCAGGGGCTGAGAAGACATGGAAATGTAACACACACTCCCTGGACTGAAAAACACGCCTTCCTGGACAAACGGCAAATCCTAGCATCTAAAAACAGCCTTAGGAGTCAGACAGACTTGAGTTCCAGCCTCCACCTTGGCCACCTATATGCTGTGTGATTTAGGAAGGTCTCTGGCCCTCTCTGTGTCCTTATGAACAGAATGAGGACAATAATCCTAATGCTTACCCCTCTGGATGTTTCTAAGATAAAGGAAAACGAGGGACTACCTGGAATGATTAGCACACTGCCCGGCACGGGACAACCCACTCAACAAACAGCTGCAATGATTAAGAGCTGGAAAAGTATATCTCGCACTCATGATACAGTGGGAGGCTAATAGCAGAGAACAAAATACTAAACCGTGTGGGACAACCTGCAACGGATCCATCAACAAGCCCAGCAGGAACGCAGATGGACTGGACGAACGGAACCGTCCAGGAGGGAGGTGGTGCTTGAACTGAACTCTCAATTGTATTAAGGATGCTGGGGAGGTGTTCTTGGAGGCCTGAGGGTGGGAATGCCTCCATTGAGTGCTTGCAGGGCGCCCAGTCCTGGAGAGCCAGAGAGAAGGGGAACAAGCTTCCCGCTGCCATCAGGGACAGAAGGGGATGTGAGATCAGCCGACAGCTGCAGCTGGTGGCCTGAGGGCATCGTGGAGTGGGAAGGGTCCCCGGTGCAGCCAGGGAGGTGAGCAAAGCCAGGGAAGGGTCCCCGGTGCAGCCAGGGAGGTGAGCAAAGCTTTTCCAAGGAAACTGCACCTGAGCCAAGTCCCAGAGGGTAGGGGCGAGAGGGCCCAACCAGGGGCAGGAGGCAAGAAGCTTCAGGATTGGAAATTAGTTTGAGAGAATGAGGCCACGTGACTGAGGGCCTTCAAATGCAGGCAGGGGAGCTGAGCTTTGCCCAGGAGGACATATGGAGCCTCTGAAGATATCTCGGTGGGGCGGGGGTCGGTGACAGGGTGAAACGAACCATCATTCTAGAAGGGACATGCCGGATGGATTGCCACATGGGGCTGGAGGGGGTTCCCACAGGAGAGAGAACAGCTAAGAGGCCTCTGTACTCTGGACTGAGATGTTCAAGGCCTGTAGGAATCCATCACAAAGGAGAGGGGAGAGGCAGACACATTTTGGAGACCAGTGTAAATGACAGAGAATGAGGGAAACCCACCAGCGGGAAGTGAGTGAGGGCAGCTGCCTGGGAGGAGACCAGTCGGGTGCGCTGAGTTTGCGGTGACACCGTGGCACCCAGAGAGCAAGACAGGGTGGGCTGGAAGTCAGAGGGGGCATTCCCAGAGGACTCCTGGAGCCAGCCCCGTGAGAAGTACAACACAGGGCCTGGGAAAACAGTCCCAGGAAAGAGGGAAAAAGGCTCAGCAAAGGAGAAGGAACCAGGAGAGAGGCATGCCCAGAAGTGACGGCGGGGAGGCTGCAAGCTGGACACCAGCGCGCAGGGGTCCGCTTCCCGGGGAGAGCGACCGAGGCACCACAGAAGAGGCGTGTTTGGAAACAAAACGACTTTTGGGTTTAGAAGTTTCAGCAAAGTGGCCACCAGCAGCCAGGCTGCAGAGGATGGAGGGGGGCGGCTGGCGGGGAGGGGGCGGCTGGAGGGGAGGGGGCAGCAGGTGCCGAGCTCTTGTGGGAAAACGTGACAGAGAAAAGAGGAAACAAGCTGACGGCTCCGATGCCGGGTTTTGTGTTTTTCAGGAGATGGGAGATGGGAGGCCGAGGGGATGTCAGAGACGCGGAGTGGGGGTGGGGCTGGGGGCTGGAGGCGGCCCGGGGCGCGATCTCCCCCGGTGTCGGGCGGGGCGGGGCGGGGACGGGACTGCAGTCCTGGCTCTACCCACGCGCCCACCAGGGTCTGCAGGGGCGTCCCCAGGGCTCCCCCTGCCCTCAGGCTGCCGGGAGGGTCAAAGGTGCGCGCTGCACAGATGTAGGGTGACAGTGACCATTCCCCGGAATCTCCGTGGCTCTGATCTCCCCGGGGACGGGTCTCCACCTGCAGCAAGACGCCTCCCCGCAGGACGACCCCCAAGGTGTTACGGACCCAGGCGACCCTGGGGTCGCTCTGCCCTCTGAGCAGCCGGGCAGGAGGCACAAGCCCCAGCGCCCCCGGCAGAGGCCTCCGTGCGGCGCAGGAAAGGAAAGGCGGCTCCACGGCGGGCCCAGAGCCGTCGTCCCGAGCAGTGAGGCGCCTGGGACGGATGGAAGCGCTTCCCCGACGCCTCCGCCCGACTCCGGGAAGCGGCTTTGGGAGGGCTGGAAGCCAACCCCGCGGGACTCAGGCTGGAAGGGATGGGCGGGGCGAGTGGAGGCGTCGTCGGTCTCGGCTGTGAGAAGGGCCCCCCAAATCCTGCACGCACGACCCCCCTTCCGACCACCCAGCCGCGGGCGAAAGCCCAAGTGTGCAGGGCCCGGGGCCCCCACGGGGGCCCCCAGTCTCGTGGGGCGTCGGGTCCACGCCGCAGGCGAGGCCAGGTGCAGAGGGGCGGCAGCCTGGACCCCCGGGCCCCTCCCCGCACGTGCGCGCCGGGGCGGGCGCTGGGAAACGCCGCGCTGTGGACTCGCTCCCCGGAACTCACCCGGCGCCGCCCTCCCCCACCCCCCGCCGCGTCCCCGCCCCCCCCCACCCGCACCCCGAGCTGGGGGCACCACAGGGTCCCCGAGGGTCCCCGAGGTCGGGGCGGAGCGCAGGCCGTTCGGAGCGGGGGGCTCCGGGCCCGGGCGCTGCTCGGGGGAGTCGGGTGCAGCCCAGGCTCCGGCCGCCGGCGGGAGGAAACCCAGCTCCAGGCCCTGCCCGCGCCCCGCCGGCCCCGGAACCGCCCCCGCCCGGGGCGCCAAGAGCTCCCAGGTCCCCGCCGCCTCCCTGTGCGCCCCGCCGGCCCCGCCGCTGAGCCGCGCGCACCCCCCGCCCTCGGACTGGGCCCCGGACCCGGGGCGGCCCCGCTTCCCCCCCGGACTCACCCGGGGTTCGGCCCCGCAGCCCGCGCGCTCCCTCGCTGCCCTCTGGCGGCAAAACCGTGAAACCGGCGCCCGCCCCGCCCCGCCCCGCTGGGACCTGTGGCCGCAGAGCCCGGGCCGGAGGGCACCTGCTGGGCGGCCTCTGGATGGTGACCTCGCCGCGGGGCGGGTCCCCACGGTCTCGCTGGACGGCAGGGGCGCGGCTCACTGCAGCCTCCGCCTCCTGGGCTCCAGCGACCCTTTCACCCCAGCCTCCCCGGCAGTCGGGACCGCAGGCACCGCTCCCACGCCCGGCCAATTTTTGTATGTTTTGTAGAGACGAGGTCCCACTGTGTTACCCAGGCTGGTCTCGAACTCCAAGCCTCAGTTTCTTTATGTGCAAAACAGAGACAACAATAGTCCTGTTGTGATGACTGAATGAGGTCGTGACCCCAGGTCTCGCTCACTGTAGGCCCCTCAGCTGGAGAGCATTCTTAATGTTAATATTCCCTCCTCACCTCCTAACCCTAAAGCCTCAAGGGTGCAGGAATTCCGCTGGCCTTAGCCCACCCCCCAGCCCCCAGGAGCTGCTCGCACCGCCGCTTGCACAGACGGGGGTAGACCACTCCGTGTCTCTGGGGTGACTCGACCTTCCTTGGGATGGCCAACCGCCTGAGAAAGACGCATAGGTGACCCGAGGCTGCCTCCCTGAAGCCTTCCTCTTGGCTATAGCTGTACCCCTGTGGAGCCCACACGAACCCAATCGCCCAACCTTCTATTCACCATTACAGCTTTCAGTAAACACTCGTTGCACCTCTGCTCTGTGCCAGCTCTTCCTAGACGGGATTCTCACATGTTTCACTTAACCCCTGTTTTCCCAGGTCTTACCACATAAGGTCCGAATGACAGTAACAAAACCATCTTTTTCTGTCTGTGCCCTGAGGATAGCTAACAGGTGAACACAGGTGCAGCCTCCTGGCTAACTCCAGAAACCACTCCCTTCTCTCCTGCCCCAGCGTTTGTCCCCTTGGCCCACAAGGCAGCACACTCAGGACCGTTCCACTCCCCTTCCCCCGACCCAGTGTGAGGCGGCCTCATCCTCTCATGGTGGGTGGGGTGGGGGGGCTCCTGCATGCTCACTGCAGAGTGGGGGCTGATGCCACACAGGTGTTCACACGTGTGCACCCCACCCTAACCAGCCACCGGGCTGCACAGCCCCTCACTCCACACGTGTGCACCCCACCCTAGACCAGCCACCGGGCTGCACAGCCCCTCACTCCACACGTGTGCACCCCACCCTAGACCAGGCACCGGGCTGCACAGCCCCTCACTCCACACGTGTGCACCCCACCCTAGACCAGGCACCGGGCTGCACAGCCCCACACTCCACACGTGTGCACCCCACCCTAACCAGCCACCGGGCTGCACAGCCCCTCACTCCACACGTGTGCACCCCACCCTAACCAGCCACCGGGCTGCACAGCCCCGCACTCCACACGTGTGCACCCCACCCTAACCAGCCACCCAGCTGCACAGCCCCTCACTCCAATGTCATGGGGAGGGGCTGGTGATACAGCCCTTTTACTAACTCCTCTTCCCATAATCTAGGCAAGAGCCTCATTCCCCATCTACTCAATGACATTCAAAGTGGTCTCCTGTCTTTGCTTTTTGCTCCTTGGTCCAAGCAAGCTCATTTCTTCTCTTTCTTCAAATAAATTACTGGGATTACTAATAGAGAGACAGACAGACAGACAGACAGAGACAGAGAGAGAGAGAGATCTTGCTAGCCATAAATCCAACGATTCTCTAAATAAGGCGAACTCTTCATTTACTCATCAACAGATAATTGTTATGCACAGTTGCAGGAGCTGGGGATACAGAGGTGAAGAGAATCCCCTGCCTCCAAGGAGCTTGCTGTCTAGAGAGGGGAGCAGACTTCAAGTGAATAAATGAACACTACTGGGCACTTCCTATTGTCTAGGAATTTCTACTAGGAGCGCTGTCTTAGTCTGTTCTCTGTTTCTATAACATAATGCCACCGACCGAGTAAATTATAAAGAAAAAAAGTATATTCAGTTCATGGTTCTGGAGCCTGGGAAGTCCAAGAGCATGGCACCAGCATGTGGCGAGGGCAGGTCATCTCGGTGGAAGTTAGAAGGCAAAAGCCAGTGTGCGCACAGCGGAGGGAGAGTCGCCAGGGTCAGCTCACTTTAGAACAACGTGCTCTCATGAGACCTAACTCACTTCTGCCAGAACAAAAATTTTTTTTTTTTTGAGACAGAGTCTCGCTCTTTCACCCAGGCTGGAGTGCAGTGGCACGATCTCAGCTCACTGCAAGCTCCGCCTTCCAGGTTCACGCCATTCTCCTGCCTCAGCCTCCCACGTAGCTGGGACTACAGGTGCCCACGACCATGCCCCGCTAATTTTTTGTATTCTTAGTAGAGATGGGATTTCACCATTTACAGGATGGTCTCGATCTCCTGACCTCGTGATCCGCCCGCCTCGGCCTCCCAAAGTGCTGGGATTACAGCCGTGAGCCACCGCACCCAGCCCTGCCAGAACACTATTAACCCATTCAAGAGGGCTCAGCCCTCATGACCTAGTCACCTCGTATCAGGCTCTTATTGAACATGTCCACCCCCTACCACTGTTACACTGGGATTCAGTTGCCAGCACATAAGCCTTTGGGATACATTCAGACATATTCACTGAGGTGGATAAGTGATAAGGACCTTCACTGCTCAACAGGAGCTGCCAGATACCCTTCAAGACTTTCCAAGAGGGAACCAAGCTGGTCCTTTGCCCCTCACTCCCTCCCCACTGATACCAGAGGACCGTATTCCTTGGGAGGGGAGCTACCCAGGCAACAGGTCAACAGGTTATGAGAAGACAAGTTTGTCTTTAACCCCACCTGTGTTTTCCCTTCACCCACACCCCCCCCGACCCCAACCAGAAGATCCTTCCAAGAAATCAAGGCTGCCTGCAGGATGGCCCTCTCCCTCCCCAGAAGCCTGGCTGGCACTCCACAGCTCCAGGAGCAGAGTGTGGGGTCCTGGAGTTCGGGCGCAGTAACCCTGAGCAGGGTTACTCAGCCACAGCACGATTGACTTTTTCAGCCAGGTATTCCTCTGGGGGGTGAGGGGGCTGTCCTGTGTATGGTACAATGTGTAGCAGCATCCCTGGCCTCTACCCCCTAAATCATAGTGGCACACATCCAACCCCCAGCTGTGACAATAAAAAATGTCTTCGGGTGTTGCCAAATGTCCCCCGGGGTCACCCTCCCACCCCCACCCCACCCCTTAACCCAAACCATGTGTCCAGAGCCTGTTACCTATTTCTAGCCTGGAGAATTAGGGGTGAGGAAACTGCTCTGTGCTTGCAGTAGTGCGGCAAAACTGCGTAGAGATGGAGCAGGCCTCCTTCCCACTGTTGACCAGACGGAGCGGGCCCGCCTTCCCACCCTCTGACCAGGCGGAGCGGCCCCGCTTCCCACTCTTGACCAGGCGGAGCGGCCCCCCTTCCCACTCTTGACCAGGCGGAGCAGGCCTCCTTCCCACTGTCTGACCAGGAGAGTTTCCCAAAAGCCAAGTAGAAACTGGAAGAAAGCGGGGGTCAAGCAGCCTTGAAGAAGCCCCGGGGGCAAGGGAACCCGTCACCAGAGGCTGAGATGCGCCTCTGGAGAGGATCAAGAGGCCGGCCTGAGGATGTATTACAAACGGGCTCCCGGGAAATCCTCCGATGCCCAGATCTGGAGAGGATCAAAGCAGAAGGATGACGGAGAAAGAGAAGAGAGCCCTCCTTCCACCTGCCAGCACCTGCACTGCAGGGAAGAGGGGGGGGTGGAATTGGAAAAAAGAATGAAAGTTGGATTTAGGTCGGGCACAGTGGCTCACGCCTGTGATCCCAGCACTTTGGGAAGCCAAAGCAGGAAGCTCAAAGCTCACTTGAGCCCAAGGAATTTGAGACCAGCCTGGGCCACATGGCGAGCGCCGTGTCTCTACTAAAAATAAAAAAATTAGCAGGGTGTGGTGGTGCGTGCCTGTACTCCCAGCTACGGAGGCCGGGCAGGTTGAGGGGCTGAGGTAGGAGGATCGCTTGAACCTGGCGGGTGGAGTTGCAGTGAGCCTTGATTGCGACACTGCACTCCATCCTGGGGGACACAGCAGACCTTGTCTCAGAAAAAAAAAGGAAAGAAACTCGGATTTATAGATCTAGTAGGTTGAATGATGGCCTGAAAAATATATGTCCACATCCTAATTCCCAGAACCTGTGACTGTGACTTTATTTGGTAAAAGGGTCTTTGCAGACATAATTAAATTGAGGCTGTCATGATGAGATCATCCTGGACATTTCGTAGGCCCTAAATCCAGTGACAAGCATCATTATAAGATGTACGTAGAGACTAGAAGGCGGCCCTAGGAAGATGGAGGCAGAGATTGGAGTGATGCAGCCACACGCCCAGGGACACCTGGGGCCCCCAGAAACGGGAGGAAGGAAGGACGGATTCTCCCCTGCAGCCTCCAGAGGGAGGACCACCCTGCTGACACCTTGATTTCAGCCTTCCGGCCGCCGGACTGTGAAATAATACATCCATTTTGTTTTAAGTCAGCCAGTTTGTGGTAATTTACTAGGGCAGCCCCAGGAAACAAATGCAACAGGAGACTAGAATTTGCTCGAGTGGAGACAGTCTTCAGCAAAGTCTACTTTTCATTCTGACACTTTTTTTTGAGACAGAGTCTCGCTCTGTTGCCCAGGCCGAAGTGCAGTGACGCGATCTCGGCTCACTGCAACCTCTGCCTCCCGGGTTCAAGTCATTCTCCTGTCTCAGCCTCCTGAGTAGCTGGGACTACAGGCGCATGACACCACGTCCGGCTAGTTTTTTGTATTTTTAGTAGAGATGGGGTTTCACCATGTTAGCCAGGATGGTCTTGATCTCCTGACCTCGTGATCTGCCCGCCTCGGCCTCCCAAAGTGATGGGATTACAGGCGTGAGCCCCCACACCCGGCTGTTTTGTGTGTTTTAAACTTTACATAAATGGTATCATACTGTATGTTTTGTTTTATTTTGTTTTCTTTTGTTTTTAAGACAGGGTCTCACTCTGTTACCCAGGCTGGAGTGCAGTGGTGTGATCTCAGCTCACTGCAGCCTTGACCTCCTGGGCTCAAGCGATCCTCCCACCTCAGCCTCCTGATTAGCTGAGACTACAAGCACGTACCACTACACCCGGCTGGTCTCAAACTCCTGAGCTCAAGTGACCTGCCTGCCTCGGCCTCACAAACTGTTGGGATTACAGGCGTGAGCCACCATGCCCAGTCATGCTGCATGCTTTTAAAAATTGAGGCAAAATTCATATAACATACAATTAACCATTCTAACATGTATCATTCAGAGCATTCGCAATGTTATCCAACCACCACCTCTCTCTAGTTTCAAAACGTTTTTCAATCACCCCATAAGAATTTTGATGGTTAATTTTGAGTGTAAGTTTGACTGGATAAGGGATGCCCAGGTGGCTAGTTAGGCATTATTTGGGGGTGTGTCTGAGAGGGTGTTTCTGGAAAGGATTTGCGTTTGAATCGTGGACTGAGTGAAGGTCACCCTCACCAATGTGAGTGGGCACATCATCCAGTCAGGTAGGGACACAGCAAAAAGGAGGGGAAGGATGAACTTGCTCTCTGGTCTTGAGCTGGGGCATCCACCCTCTCCTGTCCTCGAACAGTGAAACTCCTGGTTCTCTGGCTTTTGGACTGAATTCTGTCACTGGCTCTCTGGTTCTCCAGCTGGCAGGTGGCAGATTGTGATACTTCTCAGCCCTCGTAATCGTGTAAGCCAATTCCCGTAATAAACCTCCACATACAAGGAAGATAATATAAGAACATTCTTTTTCT
The DNA here is from genome assembly GCF_000001405.40 of Homo sapiens. Taxonomy (NCBI): domain Eukaryota; kingdom Metazoa; phylum Chordata; class Mammalia; order Primates; family Hominidae; genus Homo; species Homo sapiens. Next base: position 365,116 of record NW_003315952.3, read on the forward strand.
CTGAGCACTGTCGACGGGGGTGGGGCAAGAATATTGTATGTCCATGAAATAGTCACTCCCAATGTCGCCCTCCCTGCAACTCCTGCAACCGTTAACCCGCCTTCTGTCTCCATGGATTTGCCCATTTGTATTCTTCCAAAACTTACAGGATTCTGGCTGCACATTCGAGGGATTTGTACGGGTGGTCACGTTAGACCATTGTTTGTTTTTCATTGCCATATAATATTCCATCATGAAACTCAACCACTTTTTTTTTTTTTTTCTTGAGAGAGGGTCTCATTCTGTCACCAGGCTGCAGTGCAGTGGTGCATCCTGGCTCACTGCAGCCTAGAAATCCCAGGCTTAAGTGATCCTCCGGCCTCAGCTTCCTGAGTAGCTGGGACTGTGGGTGCACCACCACACCTGGCTAATTTTTTAAAAAAATTAGGCCAGGCATGGTGGCTCAGGCCTGTAATCCCAGCACTTCGGGAGGCCGAGGTGGGCAGATCATGAGGTCAGGAGTTCGAGACCAACCTGATCAACATGGTGAAACCCGTCTCTACCAAAAATACCAAAATTAGCAACATGATGGCACGCACCTGTAATCCCTGCTACTGAGGAGGCTGAGGCAGGAGAATCACTTGAACCCAGGAGGAGGAGGTCACAGTGAGCTGGGCAACAGAATGAGACTCTCTCTCAAAGAAAAAAAAAAAAAATTTGGAGAGATAGGGTCTTCCTATGTTGCCCAGGCTGGTCTTGAACTCTTGGCCTTGAGTGATCCTCCTGCCTCAGCCTCCCAAAGTGCTGGGATTACAAGTGTAAGCCACCACACCAGAACTCAACCCCATTTTTTTTAGACAGGTTCTCGCTCTGTCACCCAGGCTGGAGTACAACGGCACAACCTTGGCTCACTGCAACCTCCGCCTCCTGGGTTCAAGCAATTCTCATGCCTCAACCTCCCAAGAAGCTGTGACTACAGGCGGGAGCCACCATACCAGTCTAATTTTTGTATTTTTAGTAGAGACAGCATATCACTATGTTGGCCAGGCTGGTCTCAAACTCCCGACCTCAGATGATCCGCCCGCCTCAGCCTCTCAAGGTGCTGGGATTACAGGCATGAGCTGCCATGTCCAGCTCTCAACCACTTTTTAAATTTTTTCCTTCTGTTGATGAATTTGTGCAACTTAAAAAAAATTTTCAGGCCAGGCATAGTGGCTTACACCTATAATCCCAGCACTTTGGGAGGCCGAGGCAGGTGGATCACCTGAGGTCAGGAGTTTGAGAGCAGCCTGGCCAATATGGTGAAACCCCGTCTCTACTAAAGATGGAAAAATTAGTCAGGCATGATGTCGCACATCTGTAATCCCAGCTACTCGGGAGGCTGAGCCAGGAGAATTGTTTGAACCCAGGAGGCAGAGGTTGCAGTGAGCCGAGATCGCACCACTGCACTCCAGCCTGGGCGACACAGCAAGATTCTGTCTCAAAAAAAGAAAAAATATTCAAAATGAGTATTATATCCATGTGGCAACAAAATGAAGGATCACAAAAGAAGATAGAGTGAAAACGAAGTGTCTTTTCCTCTCCTTCCAAAGAGACAGTCATTTTACCCATTTCTTATGTATCCTTTTAGCAGTATTCCAGGCACATACATATATGCATAGATGGCACCTTTTTTACACACGTGTTTATGTGGTAAGTATTGATTGAAAGCCTGCTGTATGCCAGACACTACTTTAGGTGATGGGGGTACAGCCGGGAACAAAACAAAGTTTCCAGCTTTCCTGTTTCTAATAGAAAGAGAAAGTGCTACACAGATAAACAGATGTACATGTCAAGCTGCACTCGTGCTGTGGAGGGGAGTAAGCACAGCAAAGGGACACAGGGGAAAGGTCAGGAAAGGCTTCTCTGATAAGGTAACACGTGAACAAAGCAAGGACAGCCAGGGCAAGAGTGTTCCAGGTGCCGGAGAAACAGCAAGGAGGTCCTGGGGTTGGGGTGGAGCACGGGGGCAGCAGATGTTAGCAAACCGCACACACCGCGCCTCGCTCCCTCTCCATGAACAGTCTTGGCCTTTGTTCCACATCAGCCTAAAATGAGCTGCCTCGTTCTTTTTTAGAGGCAGCCAAGTAGTCCACCATATGGAGGTAGTACAATTTGCTTAACTAGTTGTAGAGTTTTTCTTTTCCTTTTTTTTTTTAAGGTATGAAGTGAAAATCAGGAAGCGGTTGGAGTGAGTTCTCAAAGGAGGAAGAGGGAAGCACAGACCTGCTCTTCACAGTTGCAAAGCCTGGGGCAAGAGCAGGCACAGCGGCCCACGCACCTTATGTCTAAATATTAAAAGTTATGACAAACTGTTAAGTGAAATATGCACTGTTCTCCTACCTTGACGAATATACTTTCGTAACAACCTGGAAGGTCAGATTTAAATTTCGAATTTCAGATTCTTCAGGGTTCTGCAGCCTGCCCCAGGCCTGCACCTCCTCTTCCTACTTCCAGCTCCAGCACTGAGAAGGTCCCGTGAGCACTTGGGTGTGGACGCCTGAGCCTGCCCTGTGCAGTTTCCATCCATGCTGCCCTTGGGCCTAAGGGTGCTCCGGAGGAAAGACCCAGGAAAGAGGCCCACATAGGCCCTACAAGCAGGCTGAGGCTATTTGGGCAAGAAACTCCGAGGTCCCAGGTACTCGGATTGTGGGCTAGAAGGAAGGAGGGGGGATAGGCTCTACGTGGGTGAGACCCCTCGATTCCACGTGATTCCCATCTCTCAGGGAGAGATACAGCTGGAGTGGAGACAGCAGGATCCGATGGAGCACGGGACAGAGGGAAGGGACTCCTCTTGCCCACATCGAAGGCTGGTGCTGCAGAAGTGTGGACACTGCTTGTCTGCCTTGGGGAAGACACTCACAGTGTGGGCAGGACAGAGTGGAAAGCTGGAATCAGCAGCCGGGCCAGCTGGAGGGACCCAGGCTGAGCACACAGCAGGAAAGCCATGAACCGTAAGCCCTGCCCAGGGCTTGCCCACATCAGTGCCAACCAAAGGGGAAAACCTGGTCCTTCTTGGGAAAGAAACTTCCACTCTGGAGAATGTTCGAAGAGCTCATAACAATAATAGTCTCTGAAACCACAAAGACAAAGTATAAACAAGGAAGCCGACACCAACAGTGAAGATGCCACCATCTCGCTGGTTGGTCAACAAATATCATTGTAAAGTCTACCACTCTCTTGCAGGATTCGTGGAACTGGGAACATGCGTTCTGGCCACATTTGGTGACTGACTAGCATTGTGAGGTTGAGCAATTCACTTACATCATTGTAAAGTCTACCGCTCTCTTGCAGGATATGTGGAACTAGGAACATGGGTTCCAACCCATTTGGTGACTGACTAGCATTGTGAGGTTGAGCGATTCACTTACATCTCTGTGTATCAGTTTCCTCATCTATCCAACAGGAGTATACTTGCCCAATCTCTTTCAGAGTTACGAGAATCGGTTCCATTCCCCTTGCTTTGCTCATTTAGCCACTCACAAAACGTCAGCTCTGTGCCAAGAGCTGGGCAGGTCTGCAAGAGCAGAAATAAAGACATCGTACTTTCTCATACTTTCTGACCTCAAGGAACTTGGTCCGACTGAGGAGACAAACAGCTGTGCTCCAAGAGCTGCCCATTCCTTGTGCTGTTGCAGGCTTAGAAGCATTTTCCAGATAAATAAATCGAAGTTAAGATAGAATGAGGCCGGGCACAGTGGCTCTCGCCTGTAATCCCAGCACTTTTGGGAAGCCAAGGCAGGCAGATCACTTGAGGCCAGGAGTTCAAGACCAGCCTGGCCAACATGGTGAAATCCTGTCTCTACTGAAAATACAAAAATTAGCTGGGCGTGGTGGCGCACGCCTGTAGTCCCAGCTACTCAGGAGGCTGAAGCAGGAGAATCGCTTGAACCTGGGAGGAAGAGGTTACAGTGAGCCAAGACTGCGCCACTGCACTCCAGCCTGGGCAACAGAGTGAGACTCTGCCTCAAAAAAAAAAGAAAACAAAAATGTTAAGATAGAGAGTTGTTCTTTTAAAGTAAAGGGGGAAGCATTTTATTTCTGTGCTAAATTATGGTTTTCAAAAAGGTCAAATCATGCCTTTGATGTAAAATTTTATTCAACACTTTGACGAAGAAACCAATAAGATGTTAAAACTGGTTCAAATAATTTGAAGGAAAGAAATGTATATATTATACACAAACATATATAGTATCTATAAACATATATATACCATATAAACATCTATTGTATATATAAACATATTATTTTTATACATTTTATATAGGTATATAATATGTATTATGTGTGTCTTTATATATAAACATAAACAGGCCAGGCGCGGTGGCTCAAGCCTGTAATCCCAGCACTTTGGGAGGCCGAGACGGGAGGATCACGAGGTCAGGAGATCGAGACCATCCTGGCTAACATGATGAAACCCCGTGTCCACTAAAAATACAAAAAAAAATTAGCTGGGCGTGGTGGTGGGCACCTGTAGTCCCAGCTACTCGGGAGGCTGAGGCAGGAGAATGGCGTGAACCCGGGAGGCGGAGCTTGCAGTGAGCCGAGATCGCGCCACTGCACTCCAGCCTGGGCAAAAGAGCGAGACTCCGTCTCAAAAAAAAAAAAAAAAAAAAACATAAACATACACCCACCCACACAAACACAGTTGACCTTTGACCAACATGGAGGTTAGGGCTGCCAATCCCCGTGCCATCAAAAATCCGTGTGTAACTTCTGACTCCCCCAAAACATAAGTAACAATAGCCTACTATTAACCAGAAGCCTTACCAATGGCATAAACAGTCGATGAACATGTTTTTTGTATATGTATCATATACAGTAAAGTAAATAAAATGTTATTAAGAAAATCAGAGAGAAAACACATTGACAGTGCTGTACTGACACTGATTACTGTAAGTTTATATCATCTGTCTACAAGATGAATGGTCTGTCTGAAACGGCAGGCCGCCGCAGCTGCAGACCTCAATCTATGGTACATATCAGGCAATCCAGCTTTTTCTTGTAATGTCAGGACTTTCCTTTGCTTTTTGGGAGCACTTCCAGCATCATCCGTAGCAGTTCATCTGGGTCCTACGGTGTTGCTATAAGGCTTAGGGCATTGCACTAAACACAGTGAAAGACGCTGGAGAACTCCAATCGATCACTTTTTCCTGCTGTTCACAACTTACTGGAGAGGTAAGCTGCTCATGTGGAGATAATTAGCGGGTTTGTTCATGTTTGTTTTTGTTTTTGTTTTGAGACAGAGTCTTGCTCCATCGCCCAGGCTGGAGTGCAGTGGCACAGTCATGGCTCGCTGCAGCCTCCAACTCCTGGGCTCAACTGATCCTCTCCTTCAGCCTCCTGAGTAGCTGGGACTACAGGCAGGCGCCACCATGCCTGGGTAATTTTTTAATTTTTCTTTTGTAGAAAAAATTTCTGGTTTCAAACTCCCAACCTCAAGTGATCCTCCTTCCTCGGGCTCCTAAAGCACTGGGATTATAGGCATGAGCCACCGCCTAGATAATTTACTTTGTCACATGACATTTTAAGGGGATATTTGCAACACTTGGGCTGATTAAAATAACAACAGGAGATGGCTACAAAATTATCACAGTAGGGCAGTATGTGTTACAGTGAAATTTATACAGTTACAATTTAACACTGCATCTTTAAATTATCACAGTAGTGCAATATTACGGTGAACTTTACACAGTTACAATTTAACACTGCGTCTTTAAATTATCACGGTAATGCGGTATGTGTTACAGTGAACTTTATACAGTTACGATTTAACACTGCATCTTTAAATTATCACAGCAATGCGGTATGTGTTACAGTGAACTTTATACAGTTACGATTTAACACTGCGTCTTTTAATTATCACGGTAATGCGGTATGTGTTACAGTGAACTTTATACAGATACGATTTAACACTGCATCTTTAAATTATCACGGTAATGCGGTATGTGTTACAGTGAACTTTATACAGTTACGATTTAACACTGCATCTTTAAATTATCACGGTAATGCGGTATGTGTTACAATTAACTTTATACAGTTACGATTTAACACTGCATCTTTAAGTTATCACAGTAATGTGGTATGTGTTACAGTGAAGTTTATACAGTTATGATTTAACACTGCATCTTTAAATTACCACAGTAATGCGGTATGTGTTACAATTAACTTTATACAGTTACGATTTAACACTGCATCTTTAAATTATCACAGTAATGTGGTATGTGTTACAGTGAAGTTTATACAGTTATGATTTAACACTGCATCTTTAAATTATCACAGTAATGTGGTATGTGTTACAGTGAAGTTTATACAGTTACGATTTAACACTGCATCTTTAAATTATCACAGTAATGCGGTATGTGTTACAGTTAACTTTATACAGTTACGATTTAACACTGCGTCTTTAAATTATCACGGTAATGCGGTATGTGTTACAATTAACTTTACACAGTTACGATTTAACACTGCATCTTTAAGTTATCACGGTAATGCGGTATGTGTTACAATTAACTTTATACAGTTATGATTTAACACTGCATCTTTAAATTATCACAGTAGTGCAGCACGTGTTACAGTTATCTTTTTTTTTTTGTTTTTGAGATGGAGTTTTGTTCTTGTTGCCCAGGCTGGAGTGCAATGGCGCAACCTCAGCTCACTGCAACCTCTGCCTCCCAGGTTCAAGCAATTCTCCTGCCTCAGCCTTCCGAGTAGCTGGGATTACAGGTGCCTGCCAACATGCCCAGCCAATTTTTTTTGTATTTTTAGTAGAGAGCAGGTTTCACCAAATTGGCCAGGCTGGTCTGGAACTCCTGACCTCAGGTGATCCACCTGCCTTGGCCCCCCAAAGTGCTGGGATTACAAGCATGAGCCACCACGCCCGGCTACAGTGAACTTTATACAGTTACAATTTAACACTGCATCTTTAAATTATCACAGTAGTCCAAGATGTGTTGCAGTGAACTTTATACAGTTATATTTAATACTGCATCTTTAAATTTGTTTATGTTTCTCTTGACTGCAGGCATGGTCTGTAAATGTGTGGGTAAGTTTTGATACATTTTAACTTTTTAAAGTAGATGTATGTATATTTTATGGTGGTAAATGATTTTAAAAAACTAGTATTGGGCTAGGTGCAGTGGTTCATGCCTATAATCCTAGTGCTTTGGGAGGCCAAGGCAGGAGGATTGCTTCAGGCCTGGTGTTCAAGACCAGCCTGAGAAACATAGCAAGACTCTGTCTCTTGTAGAGAAAATTTTCTAGAATTTTCCTTGATAGGAACTATTCTTGACAGCTCCTGGTGCCCATGTCGTGGGGGCACCGTTCATTCTTTTGCTGATATTTGACATCCCACATATGACTATATCGCTGAGTTCTTTCCCTTTGTTTTTTCTTTTTTTGAGATGGAGTCTCAACATAGTGAGACCCTGTCTCTACAAAAATAAAATAAAATAAAAGATGTAAAAATTAGCCAGGTGTGGTGGCCTGCAACTGTAGTCCCAGCTACCTGGGAGGCTGAAGCAGGAGGACAGCTTGACCTTAGGAGTTGGAGGCTGCAGTGAGTGATTGTTTCATTGCACTCTAGCCTGGGCAACAGAGCAAGACCCTATCTCTTAAAATAATACACTAGTGCTACATATATTTTATGCGTTCATGACCTACCTTTTTCTTCCTTTTTTCAATATTTCCAGGCTAAGCAGTTCATCTTCTAGTTTTTTCAAATTGTTACAAATCTCCAAAAAATTTTCCAATATATGTATTGAAAAAAATCCACATGTAAGTGAACCCACACAGTTCAAACCCATGTTGTTCAAGGCCAAATATATTAGAGAAATGCTGAAATGAAGTTGCTAATAAATGCAAAGTGGTTAACACCCATAATATCCTACAGTACAATAAAATGTAATGTTTTGAGATTATCTTTTCTCCAGGATAGAATTGTATCTTTGCCAGACAAAATTGTATCTTTGCCAGACAAAATTCATTTGTATTCTTGTAGGTAAGAATCACTTGCATTACTGTAAGTTTTTTTACAGCTTAGCTTTTATCCCTATGGAGTTGTAAAATAGCCTAGTTATTAGAAAGGTAAGTCAAGGTGCACCCCATAGAATCATAATCCCCAAGAGTTAGGAGGGCAACACCTGGCATTCCACAGAAAGGACACCCAGCATTCTCTTTTGCCCATTTCCAAATCTTGAACGACATTGCCCCTGATTGTATTGGTAACCTTCTTTTTTTTTTTTTTTTTTTTTTTTTTTGAGACAGGGTCTCACTCTGTCACCCAGGCTGGAGTACAGTGGTGCAATCATTGCACTCCACTACTTGGGAGGCTGAGGCAGGAGAATCACTTGAACCCGGGAGGCGGAGGCTGCAGTGAGCCGACATGGCGCCACTCCACTCCAGCCTGGGCCTCAACGAAAAAAAGATCCAGGTTTTTTTCTTTCTTTATCTTTTCCTTAAACAAGCATGAACCCGCTATCCAAACCAAGAAGTCAAACATAACCAACCGTCTCATCGTCCTGTGCACCCCTCCCTTCCCCGACTCCCCAACCCCCACCAAGAGGTCACCACTGTCCCTGCCCTACAGTTTACACTTTTTGTTGCACTGTAAAATATCGTTGTATCATAAATACATTTGTGTTAAACAGACGTCCTTTTTTTTTCTTTTTTAGAGATGGAGTCTCGCACTGTCACCCAGCCTGGAGTGCAGTGGCACAGTCTCCGCTCACTGCAACCTCCCCCTCCTGGGTTCAAGCAATTCTCCTGCCTCAGCCTCCCGAGCAGCTGATTATAGGCATACGCTGCCATGCCCGGCTAAGTTTTTGTATTTTAGTAGAAATGGGGTTTCACCATGTTGCCCAGGCTGGCCTCGAACTCCTGAGCTCAGGCAATCCATCTGCCTCGACCTCCCAAAGTGCTAGGATTACAGGCGTGAGCCACCGTGCCTGGCCCCTTTTTTTAATTTAATATTGTTTCCAAGGTTCATCCGTGTTGTGGGGGCATAGATCATCCTTTTGCTGATGTATAATATTCCATGTGTGACTATATCACTGAGTGGTTCCAGCTTTTTGCTACTATGAGCTATGCTGATATGAACATTTTTGATGGCTCCTGGTGCCCATATGCAAGAATTTCACTTGGATGTGTCTTTTTTTTTCTTTCTTAAACATTCAGTTGGTGCCAAGCTTGGGTATATCTTAAGGACTGGGGTTCTCAGAGATCCTGCCGTCCTCAGGACACTGGCTCTGCCTTCCAATTAGCTCCTGTCACTGTAGCGAGATGTTTGCCACAGACCCAGGCAACACATCCATGGCCGACCGTGCCCAGCAGCAGAAGAGGAGCGTGTCTCCTCCTCCCTTTGATGAAGGAGCAAACCTTTCCCTGGAGCCTCAGGTAGATGATCTTGAACTCTAATTGGCCAGGAGTGGGTAACAGGTTATTTCTCAAACATATTACTGACAAAGAGAATGGGATGACCATAATGACTCCAGCCAATCAGGATTCTCTTGTGAAGATACGGGGCGGCTGTAGGTGGGCACAGGGACCAGAACAAGATCAGAGCTCTGCAGGAAGGGGGCAAAGGTTGGGTGGGCAATTGCAGCTGACAATGTCTTCTCCACCTCCATCCCCCGCCATTCCCCTCTACCTGCAGAAAGCTTCTTCCAGACACCTGTGACTCTGCCTGAGGCTTTTCTCCACTTGCATTTTTGGCCCACGCAGAAGAAGCCAGAAGTGCTACAGAGTTAGTGCCTCTAGAAGCCACGTTTTCTGAGAGGTGGTGGATAATACCCAGCTTCTGAGAGGTGGTGGATAATACCCAGCTTCTGAGAGGTGATACCCAGCTTCTGAGGGGCGGTGGGTGACACCCAGCTTCTGAGAGGCGGTGGGTGACACCCCGCTTCTGAGAGGTGGTGGGTGACACCCCGCTTCTGAGAGGTGGTGGGTGATACCCAGCTTCTGAGAGGTGGTGGTCAGCTTCTGAGAGGTGGTGGGTGATACCCAGCTTCTGAGAGGTGGTGGGTGATACCCAGCTGCTGAGAGGTGGTGGTCAGCTTCTGAGAGGTGGTGGGTGACACCCAGCTTCTGAGAAGCTTCGTTGCCCCTCACTTGGGATCACTGGCATGTTTTGGCACCGCCTCCCAGAGTCCTCCCAGAGGACTGAGCTGTGGTTGAGCACAGAGGTAGCTGGCAGGATAATGAAAACTTTATTAACTGTCCTGCCTTCCCTGTCTCACTTGCCCACTCCTCCACCCGTGTTTCCTAAGACCCTCTCGCAGATAAACTCTGCACTCAATTCCTAGTCTTAGAGTTTGCATTTGGGGGAACTCAAACAAACACAACAACCAACACAGCAGCCAACAGTCCCTGTGCCAGGGATGTGTGAGCAAGATGGGAGACTGGGTTGGATGCTGGATAGATGGGCTGTTGGCTAAGGATAGAAAATTAGAAGTCATCAGCATGTAGGACATGATTGCAGCTGTGAATGTAGATGAGAATACCTTAATATACAGACAGAGCTTCAAGAACAGAGTCCTTAGGCCAAGCTCGGAAAACACCA
>NT_187613.1:300000-391357 GCF_000001405.40 Homo sapiens
AACAAAATGCCAACCTACAGAAGAGGAGAAAATACTCACAAACCATTTACTTGCTAAGAGGTTACTATCTGGAATAATGAACTCTCAACACTTAACAAACGAAAAAAACATGAATTCAAAAATGGGCAAAAGGGCCTGGTGCAGTGGCTCAGGCCTGTATTCTCAGCATTTTGGGAGGCTAAGGCAAGAGGATTACTTGAGGCCAGGATTTCAAGACCAGCTTCGGCAACACAGCCAGACCCTGCCTCTACAAAACAAAACAACAAAAAAAAATTTTTTTTTTGAGACGGAGTCTCGCTCTGTCGCCCAGGCTGGAGTGCAGTGGCGTGATCTTGGCTCACTGCAAGTTCCGCCTCCCAGGTTCACGCCATTCTCCTGCCTCAGCCTCCCGAGTAGCTGGGACTACAGGCGCCCGCCACCACGCCCGGCTGATTTTTTGTATTTTTAGTAGAGACGGGGTTTCACCACGTTAGCCACGATGGTCTCGATCTCCTGACCTCGTGATCTGCCCTCCTCGGCCTCCCAAAGTGCTGGGATTACAGGCGTGAGCCACTGCACGCAGCCCAAAAAAAATTTAAAAATTGGCCGGGCGCAGTGGCTCATGCCTGTAATCCCAGCACTTTGGGAGGGAGGCTGAGGTCAGGAGTTTGAGACCAGCCTAACCAAGATAGTGAAACCTCGTCTCTACTAAAAATGCCCCCAAAAATTAGCCAAGCATGGTGGCACATGCCTGTAATCCCAGCTACTTGAGAGGCTGAAGCACCAGAATCGCTTGAATCTGGGAGGTGGAGGTTGCAGTGAGCTGCGATCGCACCACTGTACTCCAGCCTGGCCAGCAGAGCGAGACTCCATCTTAAAAAAAAAAAAAAAAAAGGGCTGGCCAAGCACAGTGGCTCACACCTGTAATCCCAGAACTTTGGGAGGCCGAGGCGGGCAGATCACACGAGGTCAGGAGTTCGAGACTAGCCTGGCCAACACTGTGAAACCCCATCCCTACTAAAAATACAAAAAATTAGCCAGGCATGGTGGCAGGCGCCTATAATCCCAGCTACTTTGGATGCTGAGGCAGGAGAATCGCTTGAACCTGGAAGGCAGAGGTTGCAGTGGGCCAAGATCACGCCACTGCACTCCAGCCTGGGTGACAGTGCCAGGCTCTCCCTCAAAAAAAAGAAAAAAGAAAAAAAAAAGGAAAAGAAAAGGCCAGGTATGGTGGCATCCACCTCTAGTGACAGCTACTTGGAAGGCTCAGGTAGGCGAATCGGCTGAGCCCAGGAAGCCAAGGCTGCAGTGAGCTATGAGTGCACAACTGCAGAGACAGAACAAGATCCTGTCCGGAAAAAAAAGTTACCCACAGAATTTTCAGTCCCAATTCCACCTCAAGGTGAAGTTAAATACAAGGACTCAAGCAAATACTTAGTGCACCCATTTTCATAGCAGCATTGTACTCACCATAGGGAAAAGGTGGAAACCCACTGACCACCAAAAGTTTAATGACTAAACAATGTGTGCAAAATACATAAAATGAATTGTGTAAATTCAGTCACTAAAAGGACTGAAGCTCTGATCCATGCTTTTACATGGATAAAAACATTACGCTAGATGAAATAAAGACAGCCACAAAAGGACAAATATTATATGATCCCACTTACATGAGGTATCTAGAATGGGCCAAATTCATAGTGACAACGTAAAATAAAAGTTACTAGCAGCTAGGGAGAGGGGAAATGAAGTTATTGATTGTTTAATGGCTATAATTCGCTTTGTGTGGGGTGAAGAGAAAGTTTTCAAATAGTGGTGATTACACAACACTGTCAATGTATTCGGTGCCACTAAATTGTTGTGTGTGTGTGTGTGTGTGTGTGTGTGTGTGTGTGTGTGTGTAAAAGTCTCGCTTTGTCGCCCAGGCGAGAGGGAGAGGGAGACGGGGAGAGAGAGGGAGACGGGGAGGGGGAGGGGGGGAGGAGGGGGAGGGGGGGAGAGAGGGGGAGAGAGAGAGAGAGAGATTTGAAAAAAAGTCTCACTGTGTCACCCAGGCTACAGTGTACTGGTGCAATCGAGGCTCACCGCAACCTCTGCCTCCTGGGTTCAAACAATTCTCCTGTCTCAGCCTCCCGAGTAACTGGGATTGCAGGCATGCACCACCACACCCGGCTAATTTTGTATTTTTAATAGAGACAGAGTTTCACCATGTTGGTCAGGTTGGTATCGAACTCCTGATCTCAGGTGACCCACCCACCTCAGCCTCCCAAAGTGCTGGGATTACAGGCGTGAGCCACTGCACCCAGGCTATCACAACTTTTTAAAAGTAAAAAGTTATGTACGTATAAATATTCCTTACATATTTATCTACATTATCAAAAACTGGGAACAAGCTGAAGTATAAATGGGGGAACAGTTTAACACACATTAGTAAGACTGAAACTTGTTTATGCTAAAACAGAAAATATAAAATTATGTTTGCTACGAGAGTAACTATTAAAAACATGCCCATAGAAACAGAACACTGGCTGGGTGTGGTGACTCATGCTTGTAATCTCAGCACTTTGGGAGGCGAAGGCGGGCGGATCACTTGAGGTCAGGAGTTCCAGACCAGCCTAGCCAAAATGGTGAAAACACCGTCTCTACTAAAAATACAAAAAAAATTAGTTGGGCATGGTGGCAGGCCCCTGTAACTCCAGTTACTCAGGAGGCTGAGACAGGAGAATCACTTGAACCCAGGAGGTGAAGGCTGCAGTGATCTGAGATGGCGCCACTGCACTCTAGCCTGGGAGACAGAGTGAGACATGGTCTCAAATTTAAAAAAAGACTGAAAACTAATATAACAAAAATTAAAATAATTCTAATTCCTCTCATTTCCTTCCTCTACTCATTTTAACATGTTAGATTTCAATCTACCAGCAACAAAAATATCCCACATCAAAATAATTATGCTGACTGCTATGCTAGTGGGTTGAGACAGGTCTGTTTTAATACTATCCAAAGTAGTTTCAGTAAGAGCCAAAAGAATTACTATGCAGCCAAGTCTACAAAGACAGGCCCAAGAAACAACACGGAAAACCCAAACAGCGCCCCCCTTAACTTTCACGCTGAGCGCTGCTGTTCTTCCCCACAACTTACCTGCAGGCACGGTCAGGGGAATTAAGAATTTCGTAGTAGAATACGGAAAAATTGAGAGCAAGACCTAAGCGAATAGGATGCGTTGGTGGAAGTTCTGTCATTGCAATATCACTAGCAGCTTTATAAGCCACTAGGCTGTTCTCCGCAGCCTCCTTCCTGTCGTTTCCTGTGGCAAATTCTGCCAGATACCTGTGGTAGTCCCCTTTCCTAAAACAAAACCAAAATTAAAAAAAAAAAAAAAATTTAAACTAGGAACGATTTTTAAAGGAAAATAAGCTAAAATTGTTCTATATTATATAAAATGTGACAAAAATATATGTAACAATTAGGTGTACTTCAATAATTTTAAACACTCTCAGGAATAACTGGCTTCGTTTCATTTTTTTCCTTAGACATTTCATATTACTAAATATAAGCAAAAATCCCAGGAAATTAACTGAGGAGCCTCTAAAAATTAATAAAATTATCACCTGATAGACCAGAATTAAACAAGCAAGTGGTTCCAAGGAATGGCATGACAGTTTATTAATCATAAAATAAAATGTCTATATATAACACTAAGCACTGTGAAATGTATGCCGTTTGGGGGAGGGGAATGGGATAGGTCTCACAAAAACAAAAGAATATAAATAAGCAAAAGCTAATACATTTTCATAATAGCCCAACCACCTTTTCATTACAATATTAACTATCCTTCTAACATTGAACAATTATTCTTAAATAAAAGTTGAAAACCTACATAGAACAAAGTTATGGTTCTAAAAGGACCAACTTTCAATCTTACATTTTCCCTTCTAGTATAGAACCTACATTTTATAATAGAAAACCTTGGACTCGCCAGTGTTAGCTGCTGGAATGAGGTGTTTGTCCAGTACATCCAGAATGTCACAACAGATTAACTTTAGCTCAGTCTCAACCTAAAAAAAAAAAAATTTTTTTTAAATCAGATTAAGTCTAGAAATTCTACAAATTATTACATATTCTATCTCTGGTTTTGAGGTAGAGAGCTTAGTATTAAAAAGAATTTGTATCCCTCTCCAAACTCCCTTCTTCCTTCTTGACACAAAAGCAGAGAAAAGCTGCCTCTAGGTTATAAAAAGTATCTTTTCCCTTCTGCATGCTGCCTATTGTTACACACACACATGCAGGCACGCACACACGCCAGCCCCCACACCCCCTTCACAGTACCACAGTACAGCTACAGAATTACCAATGACTAAAACTGAACACTGATGCTTCTTGGTAAATGCTGGTCAATTACATGAATTACCTTCTTTCACAAGGTAGCAACGTAAAGACATTGCTCTAAGATCAACAATTAAATAAGAATTTAATAAGCAGAGCTAGGATTTGAACCCAGGCAGGCTGCAAGGGACAGAATCAAAATTTAAACCCAGGCAGTTTGCCTTCAGCACTCACATCCTTAACAACATTCACCAGGCAATTCCTTTAGTGGCAGAGATCCGTAACTATTAAAACACCGAAAACCTATCTACCAAAGTAGCTACTGCCACCCATCTCTATCCACTGATCATGCTGAACACGCACACCACCTCTCAACGCACATCCTCAGCTTGCTTCCTGTTTGCTATTAACTCATGCAGCACTACTGCTGAACCTTTCATGAGGGTCCTCTCCGTGCCCCTGGAACCTCCGTTTCACTGCAGAAAATTCTCTCTTTTTCTTCTATAATCACATCCTTATCCCAAGCAAAACTACTTTCTGAATAAACGACATCCCTGACAGCTTTTCCAATAGAGACTGGTCTAGGAGAAGGAAGACTTCTAAGTTCTCCTAGCTCCTTGCATACTCAATGACTGCTCTATTACTCCAAACTCTTCCTCCTCACAAGCTGATGATCTACATTCTATTTCTCAGTTTTTGTCATCAATAGATCTCTACACCCTTCTCCCAGATTCACTGAGTATCTACAGCAAACCCACCCAATACCTGAGATCACACCAAGGTATGGTGCAGCCATGTTCCATTCAACAGAGTTCTTTGCTCTCTACTCCTAGACTTTCACTTGTCCACACCCATGACCATGCTGCTCCATACTAGAAGTCTGAATTGCAACACTCCACTCTTGGCCCGTGGCTTCCTTTTTCAGTTCCTCTTCTCTTATTATTTCTATTTAGGGACTCATCAGGACATCTGGACTCTTTATTTTTTACTTTTTCTTTCTTTGATTCAGAGTTTCCCTCTTGTTGCCAAGGCTGGATGGAGTGCAGTGGCTCGACGTTGGCTCATTGCAACCTCCACCTCCTGGGTTCAAGCGATTCTCCTGTCTCAGCCTCCCGAGTAGCTGGGATTACAGGTGCCCGCCACCATGCCTGGCTAATTTTTGTATTTTTAGTGGAGACGGGGTTTCACCATGTCGGTCAGGCTGCTCTCGAACTCCTCACCTCAGGTACCTGCCCGCCTTGGCCTCCCAAAGTGCTGGGATTACAGGCATGAGCCACCACGGAAGGCCCCAGCTCACAACTTTCTATGTGACCTCAGGTATGTCAAACACCCAAAACCCTGGTTTGTGCATTCATAGTTGGGATAATACCTCCCCCTTCCAGTGCCATTTTAAAGATTTCATGTACTACCTTGCACAAATACATGTAACAAAAATATTTCTCTACTCAGGACAGTGCCCAGTACAGCTGGCGAGTCAGTAACTGTGGTTCCCCCACCCTTCCCTCCCCCAACCAACCTCACTTTCCACCTGCCCTGTAATTCTCTTCCCTGTTCTTTCCTGTATTTACGTGCCTGTCTCTTCTACTAGAATCGGTTACTCAACAGCAGCACTCCCGACAGTTTGTTGTGGGGCCCGTGCTGTGCCCAGTAGAATGGTTAGCAGCACCCCAGTCCCCACCCCACTAGATGCTAGGAACACCCTCCAGAAGTTGTGACAATCAAAAGTATTTCTAGACATTGTTAAACGTTCTCTGAAGTACAAAAGCACCTCTAATTGAAAACTGCTGCATTACAGTGATGGCTGTCCAACTTTTTTTTAACAAGACCTACAATAAGAAACATTTTATATATGTATATACACCCACAGTAAGTAAAATAACTTCATTAAATAATCCTCAGGGAAAAAAAAAGAGGAATCAGACAAATTAACCCAATATATTGGTTTTTGGGTGCTTTTTTTTTTTTTTAGATGGAGTCTCGCGCTCTGTCACCCAGGCTGGAGTGCAGCAGTGCGATCTCGGCTCACCGCAAGCTCCGCCTCCCGGATTCACACCATTCTCCTGCCTCAGCCTCCCGAGTAGCTGGGACCACAGGCTCCCGCCACCACGCCCAGCTAATGTTTTGTATTTTTAGTAGAGACGGGGTTTCACCATGTTAGCCAGGATGGTCTCGATCTCCTGACCTCGTGATCCGCCCACCTCAGCCTCCCAAAGTGCTGGGATTACAGGCCTGAGCCACCGCGCCTGGCCAACCCACCATATTTTTTTAAAAAACAGTCATCATTTTGCTTGAAAATACAATAGTTCCCCCTTATCCAAGAGGGATCCATTGAGACCTGCCAGTGGATGTGATGAAACCATGGAAAATACCAAACCTGATACAGACTATGTTTTGTCCTCATGCATAGCCACGGGTAAGTTTAACTTATAAACCAGGCACAAAGATCAATATCAGAAACATTATAACATACTGTAATACAAGTTATATGAATGTAGTCTCCTTTTCTCTCAAAATCTTAAGTGTACCGTCCTACAGGTAACTCAAACTGTGGATAAGGGGGGATGATGGCACAACAATCTCACCATTTGCCGATATTCCCGAATCATTTTTAGCTTGTCTTCTCCTCCCTTGTTTTCTTCTTTCTGTTCAATGCTGCTGATTATTCTCCAGGAGGCTCTTCTAGCTCCAATCACATTCTTATATGCAACAGATAGGAGGTTTCTTTCTTCAACTGTCAGCTCCACATCCATCCCTGCTACTTTCTTCATTGACTCCACCATTTCTGTATGGGAAAAGGAAAAGTCAGACCTTACAAATTTGAAGTTTTCTTAACATATTCCTTTCAAAGTAGTTTTTTTCTGTCAAGCTACTGCGAAAAAAACATTTTAACAAAAATAATTTCATAATCATCAAAACTAATATGAGTAAAAAGCCAAAAACATGTAAAGGAAACCAAACTAAGAGCCAATACAAAGACTCCAGAAGGTAGTTAGGTGGAGTGAGAAAGACTTCATATACTATCTAATATAATTTAGTGTGGTCTGAAAGCACCTCTCATTAAATAAGGTAATTAGGCACACCTAACTATTTTCCAGCAAAAAAAAATGAGCTGTCAGTTTAAGAGAAAGATTAAGAATTTACAGGTTCTAAAATGTATTGTCTCACAAATAAATAGTATTTCCAAAAATACAAAAGGAAGGGGAATTTGTTCATACAGCAAAAATATACGGAGTATATGGTTGGCCACCAACAGACTTTGGATGTTTTCTATCCTTCCTCGTATGAAGCTCCTTCATTGGTAAAACTTCTGATGATTCCTACTTGTTACCACTAGGTGGCGAGCAAAGAAAGGGGCCCAGAAAAGCCTTGGCATCTACCGCAAGCATAGGGAAACACAACGGCGTGTGAATGCAAAGCGCCACAAACAGCACAAGAAATAGTAACTGAATAAATACATTAATAAAAACTTATTTTTGATGCCATATTACCATGTGGCTCTCCAACATTACCCACGTTTCAATCTTTGGTGATGAGACTCAAGAATCTGCATTTTAGGGCCAGGAGTAAGTGGCTCATACCCCTAGCACTTTGAGAGCTGAGGCAGGAGAATCACTCGAGCTCAGGAGTTCGAGACCCTGTCTCTAAAAAATAAAAACAGAGGCTGGGCACAGTGGCTCATGCCTGTAAATCCCAGCACTTTGGCAGGCCGAGGTGGCACATCACCAGGTCAAGAGATAAAGACTATCCTGGCCAACATGGTGAAACACTGTCTCTACTAAAAATACAAAAATTAGCTGGGCGTGGTGATGCACGCCTGTAGTCCCAGGTACTCTAGAGACTGAGACAGGAGAATCGCTTGAACCCAGAAGGTGGAGATTGCAGTGAGCCAAGATCATGCCGCTGCACTCCAGCCCAGCAACAGAGACTCCACCTCAAAAAAAAAAAAATAGAATAAATAAAATAAAAATAAAAATAAAAATAGGCTGGATGTAGTGGCTCATGCATATAATCCCAGAACTGTGGGAGGCCAAGGTGGGCAGATCATTTGAGGTCACGAATTCAAGGCCAGCCTGGCCAACGTGGTGAAACGGTCTCTACTAAAAATACAAAAATTAGCTGCGTTTGGTGGTGCGCGCCTGTAATTACAGCTACTTGGGAAGCTGAGGCAGCAGAATTGCTTGAACCCAGGAGGCAGAGATTGCAACTGAGATCGCCCCACTGTATGCCACCTGGGGCAACAGAGCAGACTCCATCTCAAAAAAAACCAAAAGAAAGAATCTGCATTTAAATAAGCATCCTTAGCTTTCATTAACACCCTAAGCATAAGCATACCTTAACTAATAGGTATGAAAGAGATGGTGACTTCATAAAACACTACTAAATTGGACGGGCACGGTGGATCACACCTGTAATCTCAGCACTTTGGGAGGCCAAGGTGGGTGGATCGCCTGAGGTCAGGAGTTCGAGACCAGCCTGGCCAACATGGTGAAACCCGTCTCTACTAAAAATACAAAAATTAGCTGGGCATGGTGGTGCACGCTTGTAATCCCAGCTACCAGGAAGGCTGAGGCAGGAGAACTGCTTGAACCTGGGAGGCAGAGGTTGCAGTGAGCTGAGATTGCACCACTGCATTCCAGCCTGGGTGACAGAGTGAGACTCCGTTTCAAAAAAAAACACAAAACAAAAACCAAAACACTATTAAATTAAGGGGAGTGTGCCTAATGTATCCAGGAAAATATGTTTCAAAAATTAATCCTTTCGGGAATATAAAAAAAATTAAGCCATATTTTGTAAAGTCTCTTCGAAAAATATTCGGCAATGTTTTAATAAACATGTACCATATGACTCAGCAATCCCAATTCTATGCATCATCCAGAAGAAAAATAATCTTTACAAAGACTTTTACACACTCACTCACAGCAACTCTATTCATAATAGCCAAAAAGTGGAAACCCCTCAAATGTGCATCCAGAGGGGAAATGTATAAGCACACTGATGTTCACATATGTAAGATGGGATACCACTCAAAAATAAAGAATTAACTGTCCATGCACAGTGGCTCACATCTGTAATCCCAGCATTTGGGGAGGCCAAGACAGGAGGATTACTTGAGCCCAGTAGTTTGAGACCAACCTGGGCAACATGGTGAGACTCTGCCTCTACAAAAATTAGCTGGGTGTGGTGGTGTGTGCCTGCGGTCTCAACTACTCAGGAGATTAAGGCAAGAGAACTGCTTGACCCCAGGAATTCAGGCCTGCAGTGAGCTATTAGGTTGGTACAAAAGTAATTGCGCATTTTGCCAGCAAAAACCACAATTACTTTGTATAATCCTAACGCTGTACTCCAGCTTGGATGACAAAGCGAGAGACTCTGTGTCCAGAAAGAGAAGAGGAGACGGGAGGGGAGAAAAATAATTAACTGATACAAGCAACAATATGGAAGAATCTGAAAAACATCATATTAAGTGAAAAGAGTCAGATTAAAAGGATTTTATCATTCCATTTATATCAAATTGCAAAAAACACAAACTAAAAAGACAGAAAGCAAATGGTTATCAAGGTACAGAGGTGAACTGAGGGGCTTTTGTGCAAAGGACAGGTCACAGAATTGTACATGTAAAAGTGGCACGTTTAACTGTACACCTCAAGCTGATTTTTTAAATGCAATTCTGAACCATTAAAGAAGGATGACATGTTGGGTGCTGTGGCTCACACCTGTCATCTTAGCACTTTGGGAGGCTGAGGCAGGTGGATCACCTGAGGTCAGGAGTTCAAGACCAGCCTGGCCAACATGGTGACACCCCGTCTCTACTAAAAATATAAAAATTAGGCCAGGCACGGTGACTCACGCCTGTAATCCCAACACTTTGGGAGGCCGAGGCAGGCAGATCACCTGAGGTCGGGAGATCGAGACCAGCCTGACCAGCATGGAGAAACTAAAAATACAAAAAAATTTGCCAGACGTGGTGGCACATGCCTGTAATCCCAGCTACTCGAGGCTGAGGCGAGAGAATTGCTTGAACTCGGGAGGCGGAGGTTGCACTGAGTGGAGATCGCGCCACTGTACTCCAGTCTGGGCAACAAGAGCGAAACTCCATCTCAAAAAAAGGAAAAAAAAAGAAAAAGAAAAATACAAAAATTAGCCAGGCATGGTGGCAGGCATCTATAGTGCCAGCTACTCGGGAGGCTGAGGCAGGGGAATCGCTTGAACCCCGGAGACAGGGGTTGCACTGAGCTGAGATCGCGCCATTGCACTCCAGCCTAGGCGACAGAGTGAGACTCTGTCTCAAAAAAAAAAAAAAAAAAGTATTACAATATGGTAATAAGACCACTCATTAATTCATTTGTAGGAGTCTGAAAGCATTCATCTAAAACATGCCCAATTTTGTTTTCTAAACCAGTCACGAAACAGTCTAAATTTAGAAGCAGTGGAATAGGTAATCGTACCTCCATACTAGTTTAATTCTCAAAAATCAGCAAGTCAAACATAACTCAGAGGTAAGCCTGTAATTAAACTTTCTAAACTGATCGCAAAGTAAATCTTAAGTAACCCAGCTACACAAAAACAGTGCCATTAATTCTTTTAAGGCTTTACAATATTACATACAGAAAAACTATGCAGACATCAAATACTACCAAAAATTTAAGTTACATATCTCGAATATCATTCCTTATGATTTAATTTTGTTCAAATTTCTGTGCTTTACAAATTTTCAACAACGAAGACTTAGTATTTTTATAATGCAAAGAGAAATATATTTGTAACACTCAGTGATACTCTACTGTTCCAGATTCAAGCATAAATGCTTTCATTTTTACATATACACAAAACAATGCACAGACTGTGTGGTAAAATTATAGAAGCAACAATTATCCCTTTAATAATACCTTTATTTATATATAATTCCCCTACCTAACAATTCACCCATTTAAAGTGTACTATTCGGCCGGGAGCAGGGGCTCACCCCTGTAAACCTTGGGAGGCCGAGGTGGGTGGATCATGAGGTCAGGAGATCAAGAACAGCCTGGCCAACATAGTAAAACCCCGTCTCTACTAAAAATACAAAAATTAGCTGGGCATGGTGGCAGGCGCCTGTAGTCCCAGCTAACCAGGAGGCTGAAGCAAGAGATTTGCTTGAACCCGGGAGGCGGAGGTTGCAGTGACCCGAGATGGCTCCACTGCACTACAGCCTGGGTAACAGAGAGAGACTCCGTCTCCAAAAAATAAATAAACTGTACCATTCAATGGTTTTTAGTATATTCACAGAATTCTGCAATCATCATAATTTTAGATTTTCATCACTTCAAAAAGAAAAGCCCCAAACCCATTAACCATCAATTCCCATGTACCCGAACCCCAGCCCGGTCAACCACCAATCTATTTTCCGCCTCTACACACTTGTCTCTTATGCACATTTCAGGTGCGGGCATACCTTGGAAGATACTGCGGGTTCAGTTCCAGAGCACTGCAAAAAAAAATATTGCAATAAAGCAAGTCACATGAATTTTTGTGTTTCCCAGTGCATAGAAAAGTTATGTTTAAACTACACTGTAATCTATTAAGTGTACAACAGCATTATGTCTAAACTGTACATAATTTAAAAACACCTTATTGCTAATAAATGCTAATGCTCATCTGAGCCTTCAGCAAGTGATAATATTTTGCTGTTGGAAGGTTTTTGCCTTGATGTTGATGGCTACTGACTGCTTAGGGTGATGGCTGCTGAAGGCTGGAGTGGCCGTGGCAAGACAATGAAGTCTGCCATGTTGATGGGCTTTTCCTTTCCTGCATGATTTCTCTGTAGCATCTGACGCTGTTGGACAGCATTTACCCACAGAAAAACTTTTTTTTTTTTTTTTTTTTTTTTTTGAGACGGAGTCTCGCTCTGTCACCAGGCTGGAGTGCCTGGGCGTGATCTCGGCTCACTGCAAGCTCCGCCTCCCAGGTTCACGCCATTCTCCTGCCTCAGCCTCCCGAGTAGCTGGGACCACAGGCGCCCGTCACCATGCCCAGTGAATTTTTTTGTGTGTATTTTTAGTAGAGGCGGGGTTTCACCATGTTAGCCAGGACGGTCTCGATCTCCTGACCTTGTGATCCGCCCGCCTTGGCCTCCCAAAGTGCTGGGATTACAGGCGTGAGCCACCGCGACTGGCCAGAACAACTTTTTGTTTTTTGTTTTTGAGACAGTGTCTTGCTCTGTAGCCCAGGCAGTGGCACAATCTCGGCTCACTGCAGCCTCTGCCTCCAGGGTTCAAGCAATTCTCCTGCCTCAGCCTCCCAAGTAGCTGAGACTACAAGTGGGCGCCACCACGCCCGGCTAACTTTTCTATTTTTAGTAGAGACGGGGTTTCAGCATGTTGGTGAGGCTGGTCTTAAACTCCTGACCTCAGGTGATCTGCCTACCTGCTGTGTTAACAGGCATAAAAACAACATTGCAGGCTGGGAGCGGTGGCTCACGCCTAGTAATCCCAGCACTTTGGGAGGCCGAGGTGGGCAGATCACGAGGTCAGGAGATGGAGACCATCCTGGCTAACAAGGTGAAAACCTCGTCTCTACTAAAAGTGCAAAAAAAAATCAGCCGGGCATGGTGGCGGGCGCCTGTAGTCCCAGCTACTCAGGAGGCTGAGGCAGGAGAATGGTGTGAACCCGGGAGGCGGAGCTGCAGTGAGCTGAGATAGTGCCACTGCACTCCAGCCTGGGCGACACAGCGAGACTCCTTCTCAAAAAATAAAAAATCAAAAAACATTGCTCTCCTTACACAACTACATCAGAGCTCCAGGGTGACCAAGTACTGTGTGTGAGTGTGTGGTAGTGTGTGTGTGTTTTGAAACAGAGTCACACTCTGTCACCCAAGATGATACAGTGGCACCATCTCAGTTCACTACAGCCTCAACCTCCCCAGCTCAAGCGATCCTCCAACCTCAGCCTCCTGAGTAGCTGGGACTACAGGTGTACGCCATTACGCCCAGCTAATTTTTATTATTTTTTTGTAAAGACAGGGTTTTGCCATGTTCCTCAGGCTGGTCTTGAACTCTTGTGCTCATGTGACCCACCCATCTCGGCCTCCCAAAGTGCTGAAATTACAAATGTGCACCACTGCACCCAACCTCGGTGCATTTTCAATGTGCAGTAATACATTGAAGGGAATTTTTTTTTTTTCTGAGTACCAAGCTTCAACAGTGGGCTTAAGATATTCAGAAAACCATGCTGTAAACATAAGTGCTGTCTTACAGGCTTTGCTGTTCCATTTATAAACCAGGCAGAGTAAATTTAGCATGATTCTTAAAGAGGCCTCAAATTTTTCAAACAGTCAATGAGCACTGGTTTCAATTTAAATTCACCAGCTGCATTAGTCCCTAAGAAGCTGCATCAGCCTGTCCTATGGAGCTAGACACACTGACTTCTCTCTAGTTAAGTGAAGTCCTAGACAGCATTTTCTTCTAACACAAGGCTGTTTTGTCTACGCTGAAAATCTAAGTGGTGTGGTCACCATCAATAATGTTAGCTAAATCTGGATAATTTGCTGCAGCATCTACATCAGCACATGCTACTTGACCCTGTACTTTTTTTTTTTTTTTTTGAGACAGAATTTCACTTTGTCGCTCAGGCTGGAGTGCTGTCACAACGTCTCAGCTCACTGCAACCTCCGTCTCCTGGGCTGAAGCGATTCTCCTGCCTCAACTTCCCGAGTAGCTGGGATTACAGGCGTCTGCCACCACGCCCAGCTAATTTTTTGTATTTTTAGTACAGGCAGGGTTTCACCATGTTGGCCAGGCTGGTCTCAAACTCCTGACCTCGTGATCCGTCCGCCTCGGCCCCCCAAAGCGCTGGGATTACAGGCGTGAGCCACCGCGCTCAGCCGACCTTGTACTTTTTAAGTAATGGAGATGGCATCTTTCCTTAAACCTTACTAACCAACCTCTGCTAGGTTCCAGCTTTCTATCTGTAGCTTTCTCACCTCTCTCAGCTTTCTTAAATTTGAAGAGAGTTAGAGGGTTGGTCTGAATTAGGCTTTGGCTTAAGGGAATAGTATGGCAGGTTTGATCTTCTATTCAGACCACCAAAACTTTCTGTCAGCAAGAAGGCTGTTTTGCTTTCTCATCATTGCTGTGTTCACTGGACTAGCACTTTTTAATCTCCTTGAAGAACTTTTCCTTTGCATTCACAACTGTGGTGCAAGAGGCCCAGCTTTCAGACCGTGTCTCGGCTTTTAAGGTAGCCTTCCTGACTCAGCTTCATCATTTCTACCTTTTTATTTAAAGTGAGAGACTGGGACTCTTCCTTTCTCTTAAACACTTAGAAGCAATTGCAGGGTTGTTAATCGGCCTAATTTAAATATTGTTATGTTTCAGGTAATAGGTAAGCCTAACGGGAGGGAGAGAGACAGGGAGTCAGAACACAAACAAGAGCTCACGCCTGTAATCCCAATACTTTGGGAGGCCGAAGGCAGGAAGATCATGTGAGCCTAGGAGTTCAAGACCAGCCTGGGCAACAGGTGAGACCCTATCTCTACAAAAAATACAAAAACTAGCCAGGCATGGTGATGTGTGCCTGTCGTCCCAGCTTCTCAGGAGGCCGAGGCAGGAGGATTGCTGGAGCCTGGGAGGTCAAGGCTGCAGTGAGCATTCCTGCCTGGGTGACAGAGTGAGACCCTGTCTCCAAAAATTAATAGTAAAAGAACACAGGCCAGGCATGGTGGCTCACGCAGTAATCCCAGCACTTTGGGAGGCCAAGGCGGGCAGATCACATGAGGTCGGGAGTTCGAGACCACCTGACCAACATGGAGAAACCCTGTCTCTACTAAAAATACAAAAAAATTAGCCAGGCATGGGGGCGCGTGCCTGTAATCCCAGCTACTCGGGACGCTGAGGCAGGAGAATCGCTTGAACTCAGGAGGCGGAACTTGCGGTGAGCCAAGATGGCGCCCTTACACTCCAACCTAAGCAACAAGAGCGAAACTCAGTCTCAAAAAACAAGCAAAAAAAGGAATACACACATCTATCAATTAATTTCCCTCAGTTCACGGATCCCCAAAACAATTACAATAGTAACGTCAAAGATTACTGATCACAGATAACCACCATTAACATGTAATGAAAAGTTTGAGGCCGGGCGAGGTGGACTCACGCCTGTAATCCCAGCGCTTTGGGAGGCCAAGAAGGGTAGATCACAAGGTCAGGAGATGGAGACCATCCTGGCTAACACGGTGAAACCCCGTCTCTACTAAATATACAATAAAAAATTAGCCAGGCATGGTGGCGGGCGCCTGTAGTCCCAGCTACTCGGGAGGCTGAGGCAGGAGAATTGCGTGAACCCGGGAGGCGGAGCTTGTAGTGAGTAGAGATCGTGGCACTGCACTCCAGCCTGGGTGACAGAGTGAGACTTCATCTCAAAAAAAAAAAAGAAAAGTTTGAAATACTGCACAAGGTACCAAAATGTGAACAGAGACAAGAAGTGAGCACCTGCTGTTGGAAAATGGCACCAACAGACTTGCTCAAAGCGGGTTCCAGAAACCTTCCATTTGTTCTGTAAAAATGTAGTATCTGTGAAGCACAATCAAACAGGGTGTACCTACGAACAGAGCCATACAGTATGGAGCCTCCCATGACTGGCTTCTTTCCCAACACAACCTACCGTATGGAGTCGGCTGTGACTGGCTTCTTTCCCATAGCATGGTCTCAAGTTTCATGCCTAGTGTAGCATGCATCAGTACTTCACCTACTGTATGGATATACTATGCTTTAAAAATCCATTCATTAGGCCAGGTGCGGTGGCTCACGCCTACAATCCCAGCACTCTGGGAGGCAGGTGGATTACCTGAGGTCAGGAGTTCAGACCAGCCTGGCCAAAACATGGCAAAACCCCGTCTCTACTAAAAATACAAAAATTAGGCTGCCATGATGTCTAGGCGAATGTCTGTAATCCCAGCTACTCGGGAGGCTGAAGCAGGACAACTGCTTGAACACGGGAGGCGGAGGTTGCAGTGACCCGAGATCGTGCCACTGAACTCCAGCCTGGCAACAGAGCGAGACTTGGTCTCAGGAAAAAAAAAAAAAAATCCATTCGTTAGTTAATGAACATTTGGGTTGTTTCCATTTTTGGACTATTATAAACAATGCTGCTACGAACGTTCTTTAAGTTTTTGTATGAATAAATGCTTTCAGTTCACTTCAGTATACACCTAGAAGGAACTTCAGGATCACATGGTAACTAGCTTTTTGAGGAAGGACATCCCAAACTTTTCTACAGGAGCGGCACCGTTTTTACACTCCCACCAGCAACACAGGATTCTAATCTGGCCACGTCCTCAGGAACACTTGTTAGTTATTCTTTAAACTAGTCATCCTAGTGGGTGTGAAGCTGTATCTCTTTGTGGTTTTGATTTGCATTTCCTTGATAACTAATAGTGTTGAACACCTTTTCATGTGCTTATGAGCCTTTTGCGTATGTTCTCTGGAGAAATATCTATTCAAACACTTTGCCAAATATTTAATTATTTGTCTTTTCATTATTGGTATGTAGGAGTTGTTCATTTTTAAAACCCCACTGACTCCTCTTAATTCCCCCAACCCCCTCTGCATCCCTTAAGGTAGCAGATTAAGGAACAGAAGTAGCATTGAGTCAGGAGACACTTCTATTGCTTCAAGAGACAGGGTCTCACTACGTTGCCCTGACTGTATGTCGTGCAGTGGCTATTCACAGGCCCATGATCACAGCGCACTATGTAGCCTTAAACTCCTGGCCTCGAGTGATCCTCCCACCTCAGCCTCCCAAGTAACTGGGACTATAGGTGCACACTACCAAGCACATCACTCCTTCAAGAGTATGGAAAGTCAACTTCTCAATCTCTCCAAACATTCTACGACCAGTGCTTTGTACCAGTTTGTACAAATAACGACTACAATGACACTCTCTTCCAATATCACTGTCATCTTTATCCTTTTAACACCAGCAACAGAAACATAATACTAATGATAATGTACCCCAAAACTATATAAGAAAAGCTGATTTATCCAAAACTCTAGACTAACTACACCCTTCAGCCCTCCCTCAGTAGAGGATGAACTCCAACCATTATATTCACATAAAGGCCCTCAACACAACTAGCATTTCCTGAAATCACCTTTGCGGCAAGTATTTTATCAGTGGGATGTGGGCATTTCACGGGTGGGGGAAGGCTGTCATGTGTTTGCAGCAGGTGGGATCGCAATTTAAGAACCAAAAAACTGAAATGGTTGAAATCACTTCTTTTGGATCCACGGGCAGTTTTGCTACAGTAATTTTGAGTAACAAAATCGAATTTCTGGGACTTTTCATGGTTTGGGGACAAGGGTGGGTGATTAAAATCGCCACTCTGAAAAACATACTCCTCACAAGTTAATTAAACATAGTTAAGTCTCTTTAGTTCCAAGTAAGTTTCCCTTCATTGTATGGTAATAGCCTAGACACAGATCCACCACATGGAACCAGCTTGTGTCTGGGACACCCATCATCTGCTGCTGCCAGTAGAGTCACAAGTTTTTCCCCTTGACTTGTTAACTGAGGTTTGGTTTGTGGTTGTGTTCTTTCAACTATGTTGTTCATTCAACAGACTAATTCATAAATAAAACACCCCATTTCAACTATGTTGTTCATTCAACAGACTTATTCACAAATAAAACCCCCCATGCTAAAATAGGCACTGTTCCAAATGCTTCGCTGTATTAATGTGCTTAATCTTCTCAACAGACCTCTGAAGTGGGTACCAGTATTATCCCATTTTAGAATATCTCCATATACTGAAGAACACGAAGGTTAAACTTGTTCCAGATCACAAAGCCAGTGGACTACAACTCAGGGAATCTGACTTGAGTTGTGCTTTGATTTAATCATATTGCCTCAGATTTGAATATTTATTTGAATGCATCTGTACGAGGATCCTTTTGTTTGCTTCTGTGACAATAGAGGGGAAATAACTGGTTTCAGTGACTCTACCAGAGAAACAAGTTTCACATACTAAAATGTGGTTGAGACCCAGGCATGGTGGCGTCTGCCACCATGAGAGAAAGAACGAAGACAGAAAGACAGACAGAAAGACAAGAAAGACAGACAGACAGACAGAAAGAAAGAAAAAGAAAGAGAGAGAAAGAAAGAAAAGAAAAGAAGGAAAGAAGTTCACTCCTGCTTAAAACGCATTTCTTTTTCCACCTAGAGGTTCACCCCTCTCCCAAAAAAAGCTTACTTTATTCTTTTCTCTTAAAGAGACGGGAGTCTTTGTATGTTGCCCAGGCTGGTCTCCAACTCCTGGGCTCAAGCAATCCTCCCACCTCAGCCTCCTGAATACAAAAAGCTTAGTTTCATACCTCTAATATCTTTACATCAACATCCCAGTAAACCTGATTTTCCCAAGACTGTCCTTGCCAGGTAGTAAAACAAGTCTCTGCTGAGCTTCAACAGTTTCTGATAAACACAAAGTACAAAATCATAAAAGGAGCAGGTCTCCAACTATCAGGCTGACAAGTCACAAGGCACAATTTACAGCTCCTAATGAAATTCAGGGTCAGGAAAAAAGCAAACTGTTCAGAATCTGCCATGGGAAAAACGAGCAGGTTCTGTACTGGCTGACAGGATTAATGTTCCTCTTACCAAAGCACACAGGGTCATAACCCTAACTTTTTTTTTTTTTTTTGAGACAGAGTCTAGCTCTGTTGCCCAGGCTGAAGTGCAATCTCACTGCAACCTCCATCTCCCATGTTCAAGTGATGCTCTTGCCCCAGCCTCCCTGGTAGTTAGGACTACAGGTGCCCGCCAACGTGCACGGCTAATTTTTATATTTTTAGTAAAGACAGGGTTTCACCATGTTGGCCAGACTGGTTTCGAACTCCTGACCTCAGGTGATCCACCTGCCTCGGCCTCCCTAGGTGGTGGGATTACAGGCAGGGGTTACCACACCCGGCCCTAATCCTGATTTTAAGGGCAGAAAAATGAAGCTAAGAGTAATGTTCCTAAAGTCACACAATGGTAAAACCCAAACTCAAACCCAGACAATCTAACTTAAGAGTCTGAGCTTTTAGCCATCACACTTCAATGACTTTGCAACCAGAGTGCTCACAGAAACAAATTCCTTAGCCCAAGAACAGTAAAAGCAATCACACCAAGGGAAGAAAAGGGCACAGCATCAGGCACTGACATAAAAAGGTTCTGTCAGAACCGGAAATGTGGCTCACACCTGTAGTCAGTCCCAGCTACTCCAGAAGCTGAGACAGGAAGATCGCTTGAGCCCAGGAGTCCGAGGCCACAGTGAGCTATGATCATGCCACTGCACTCCACCCTGGGCAACAGAGCAAGACTCTGTCTCTCAAAAAGAAAGAGTTCAGTCACTTAGGTTCTGGAAAGGTCCTGAGCTTGCTTTATATAAAGGCTAATCAATTAGCCAATGACCTTTCCTTTTTCCTAGGAAACATCATCCCTCTGGATCAAACTCAAATGTCTTACTATGTAAAGACTTCCTGGCTGGAAGCAGTGGCTCATGCCTGTAATCCCAGCACTTTGGGAGGCCGAGGCAGGTGGATCACCTGAGGTCAGGAGTTCGAGACCAGCCTGGCCAACATGGTGAAACCCCGTCTCTACTAAAAATACAAAAATTAGCTGGGCATGGTGGCGGGTGCCTGTAATCCCAGCTACTCGGGAGGCTGAGGCAGGAGAATTGCTTGAACCCGAGAGGCGGAGGTTGCAGTGAGCCAAGATCGCGTCACTGCACTCCAGCCTGGGCAACAGAGGTGAGACTCCGTCTCAAAATAAAAGTCTCAAATTGTTTTTATGGTTTGGAGGGGATAGTATGCAAGTTTGTTGGAGAGAAACTTACAAGGTGCTACTTACTAAGAAATTTACCTTGCGGATATTTTCTTAAAAAGGAGTCATCACAGAAAATGTATGCCTAGATTTACATGTGAGAAGCAGTCTTCAATTGGATACTTCTGACCCCATGAAATAACTGAGGACATTTCTGCAGAAGGCTGACATATGAGAATGCTCAGGAATTGTGTGGCTTTCAAATAATCTGATTCAGCTTGGACAACCTCCAAGGAATGAATAAAATTAGGCAAAAGCTTGACAATCACTAAACATAGTCAATTCACAGATAATTCATGACAATCAACATTCTGCCTTACTGATTTCTAAAAGGTCCCAATATCTTGCTAGTCACATGACAACTCTCTTGTTACTATTCAGAAATATAAAGATGGAGCAAAATTTTTTCTAAAACGATTATCACGCACCTTCTCTATCACACTGACAAATAATCTGGGAAGCATCAGTTCTGTACTAAAAAGCATGTCTAAAAAGCCTGACTCAGACCATTTCAGGAGCAATACTACTCGTTTACTATAAAAGAAATTCAGTACAGGCCAGGCACGGCGGCTCACGCCTGTAATCCCAGCACTTTGAGAGGCCAAGGCGGGTGGATCACCTGAGGTTAGGAGTTCAGGACCGGCCTTGGCCAACATGGTGAAATCCCGTCTCTACTAAAAATACCAAAAATTAGTTGGGCATGGTGGCACACACCTGTGATCCCAGCTACTCGGGAGGCTGAGGCAGGAGAATCGCTTGAACCTGGGAGGCGAAGGAAGTTGCAATGAGCAAAGGTCATGCCATTGCATTCCAGCCTGGCGACAAGAGCAAAACTCTGTCTCAAAAAAAAAAAAAAAGAAATTCAGTATGATCCCCAAGAAAGTTACAAAACATTCTCAGATGGCTAACCTGAATTATACTGGTTTTTAAACATTAAATCTCTGCCCAAATTTGGCAATTTTAATTTTATCATAATTAATTCAGCTGCTTGAAGCCTGCTTAAAGTTTGCGATGTCATCACTTTAAGGTTGACTATACTCATGTCAGTGTACTTCCAAATCACCTAAGAGCCCTATGGGATGTTAAGACACACTTCAGATTTTACATGGCCTCACGCCTGTAATCCCAACACTTTGGGAGGATGAAGCGGGCAGGCTGCTTGAGCTGAGGAGTCTAAGCCCAGTCTGGGGAGCACGGCAAAACTCCATCTCTACTAAAATATAAAAAATTAGCCGGGCGTGGTGGCACACACCTATAGTCCCAGCTACTCTGGAGGCTGAGGTGGGTGGATCAACTGAGCCCAGGAAGTCAAGGCTGCAATGAGCTGTGATCACGCCACTGCACTCCAGCCTGGGCAAAGAAAGCAAGACTCTGCCTCAAAAGAAGATTTCATACATGCAAAACTTCTAATTCGAATGACGAAAAAAACTATCAACTACACTAATTCTAATAGTAAATAACATGGAAAGAATCTAAGAATGTAACAAAATGTCAAATCTGTAGCTTGAGGAGTCTTAAATCATATTTTCTTAGAAAAACAAAATGCAAGAATAGTGATCACTAGTTCTACTCAATTAAGATGAGCAAAAGGCTGGGATGTACCCTGGAGCGTGTTACGATGAGTTATGAAGGAAGGAGTACTTGAGGTAAACAGTTGGACAAGATTTAGGAAACACTCCTGGAACTTGTTTTAATTTAAGCAAAGATTTAAAATTGTGTAAAATGAACAGGATTAGTTGGTTGACATGTAAATTATACTTTGTGTTCAGTACGGTGAAAGAACCAGAATGCTGTAAACAGAAAATAATGGAAGTACTCAGAAGCTTTTCTGAAGAGGCCCTATTCTAGTCTACTAACTTTGACTATTATTGTAGTACCCACATACCACGTGCACTTTTATTAGACAAAAATGACACACACTTTGGGAAACAGCACAGGAAAGTCCCACCACAGCACAGCAAACACCACACTTACAGCAAAGAGTTTCAGACTAGAAGACTAGACTTTTTTTTTTTTTTTTTTTTGAGACGGAGCCTCACTCTGTCGCCCAGGCTGGAGTGCACTGGCACGATCTCGGCTCACTGCAACCTCCGCCTCCCGGGTTCAAGAGTCTCCTGCCTCAGCCTCCGAAGTAGCTGGGATTACAGGCGCACACTACCATGCCCAGCTAAATTTTGTATTTTTAGTAAAGGTGAGGTTTCACGATGTTGACCAGGATGGTCTCGAACTCGTGACCTCAGGTGATCTGCCTGCCTCAGCCTTCCAAAGTGCGTGAGCCACCGCGCCCAGCCCAGACTAGATTTTCATTCCTGCTTATTCATATGCTATTTGACCTCAAGTATGCCACATAATCTCTAGGAGCTTGTTCCTCATCCATAACATGGAGGATATCCAGCCCTGAGTTATGAGAGTTTAAAATGAGATTGTAGAGTAAATTGTCTGGCATATAATATGAATTCAATTAAATGTTTAATTTCTTTTCTTCGCCTCACTTCCAAGATTAAATAACAAAAAAACAAAACCGGAATCCAGACGGGTGGGGGTGTTAATGTGCCTGATGTAGGAAAGAGCTAAATAAAGAACACAGCGTTTAGAATCTAAGTCTAATAAAGCCTTTTGCAGAATACAGCTCCATTTTTTCTAACCCAGACTTTCCATTCTTACATCTCATATATTTAATCCCATATCTGTGCTTTTGGTAACATATCCAAAGAACCTCACTCTCCCAACATCCAAATCTTATCCCCCAATTAATGTCTCACCTACTATTCAAGTTTTCCCCGACAACTGCAGCACACAATCCCTTGTTCCCCTTCTCTACAATTCCTGTATTATACAAGCTAGAAATCATCATTCTGGTTTCTAGCCACAGCTTGCCTGATTAGACTGTAACTCTTCCATAGTAGGTATTATAAGTAACGATTTTATTACTCACAAGGGGAAAGTTGTTCCCCATACATGCTAAAGAAATACATATTGATTAAATGGTCCAAGAGGCTGGGCGCAGTGGCTCACGTCTGTAATCCCAGAACTTCGGGAGGCTAACAATCACTTGAGGTCAGGAGTTACAGACTGGCCTGGCCAACATGGCGAAACCCCACCTCCACTAAAAATACAAAAATTAGTCCGGGTGTGGTGGGATTACGCCTGTAATCCCAGCACTTTTGGAGGCTGAGGCGGGTGACTCACCTGAGGTCAGGAGTTCGAGACCAGCCTGACCAACATGGAGAAACCCCGACTCTACTAAAAACACAAAAAATTAGCCAGGCGTGGTGGCTGTAATCCCAGCTACTCAGGAGGCTGAAGCACGAGCATCCCTTGAACCCGGGAGGTGGAGGTTGCAGTGAGCTGAGATTGTGTCACTGCACTCCAGCATGGGCAACAGGACAAGACTCATCTCCAAATAAATCAATAAACTCAAAAAAATAAGTAAATAAAACACGAAAGGCTCAAGAATGCATGTAAAGGGGGGAGGGGAATTTCAAACTATCAACTAATCAAAACGTAACATAAATGCACTGAGGAAGGCCGAGCGCAAAGGCTCAGGCCTGTAATCCCAGCACTTTGGGAGGCCAACGCGGGTGGATCGCTTCAACTCAGGAGTTCAAGACCAGCCTAGGAGACATGGCGAAACCCTGTCTCTACAAAAAAATACAAAAATTGGCCAGGCCTGGTGGTGCATGCCTGCAGTCCCAGGCATAGGACTGAGGTGGGAGGATCACTGGAACGTGAGAGGTCAAGGCTGCAGTGAGCCCAGACTGGCCCACTGTACTCCAGCCTGCACGAGAGAGCGACACTATGTCAAAAAAAAAAAAAAAAAAAAAAAGACAGGCAGACAGAAAAGGAAAAAAAAACACAGATATATAGGCACTGGAGCAAAGAAAAAGTTATTAAAGGAGACTCAAACCACTGACAAGTTACTTGCGGCATAAGTAGTAGTTTTTTTGTTTGTTTGTTTTGAGATGGAGTCTCGCTCTGTCACCCAGGCTGGAGTGCAGTGGCGCAATCTCGGCTCACGGCAACCTCCGCCTCCCGGGTTCACGCCATTCTCCTGCCTCAGCCTCCCATGTAACTGGGACTTCAGGCGCCCACCACCATGCCCGGCAAATTTTTTGTATTTTTAGTAGAGATGGGGTTTCACCGTGTTAGCCAGGATGGTCTCGATCTCCTGACCTCATGATCTGCCCGCCTCGGCCTCCCAAAGTGCTGGGATTACAGGCTTGAGCCACCGCGCCCGGCCTTTTTTTTTTTTTTGAGATGGAGTCTCACTCTGTTGACCAGGCTACAGTGCAGCAGCGCAATCTCAGCTCACTGCAAGCTCTACCGGCAAGCTCCGCCTCCCGGGTTCTGGCCATTCTCCTGCTTCAGCCTCCCAAGTAGCTGGGACTACAGGCGCCCACCACCAGGCCAGGCTAATTTTTTTTTTGTATCTTTAGTAGAGACGGGGTTTCACTATGTTAGCCAGGATGATCTCAATCTCCTGACCCTGTGATCCACCCGCCTCGGCCTCCCAAAGTGCTAGGATTACAGGCGTGAGCCACCACGCCTGGCCAGTAGTTTTCATTATTTACTTGATATGGCTGTACTGCTGACTTTACATTTAAATTCATCTTTTGCAGTAAGAAATGAAAAACAGGCCAGGTGCGGTGGCTCATACCTGTATTCCCAGCAATTTGAGAGGCTGAGGCCAGCGGATCACTTGAGGTCAGGAGATCGAGACCAGCCTGGCCAACCTGGCGAAACCCCATCTCTACTAATAATACAAAAATTATCCAGGTGTGTTGGCATATGACTGTAATTCCAGCTACTTGGGAGGCTGGGGAAGGAGAATTGCTTGAACCTGGGAGGCTGAGGTTGCAGTGAGCTGACCTCATGCCACTGCACTCCAGCCCAGGTGACAAAGCAAGATTCCGTCTCAAGAAAGAAAAAAAAAAAAAAGGCAAAACAAAAGTGGAAAAACTGGCTGGTCGTGGTGGCTCACGCCTGTAATCCCAGCACTTTGGGAGGCCGAGGCACATGGATCACCTGAGGTCGAGAGTTCGAGACCAGCCTGACCAACATAGAGAAACCCCATCTCTACTAAAAATACAAAATTAGACAGGCATGGTGGCGCATGCCTGTAATCCCAGCTACTCTGGGGGCTGAGGCAGGAGAATTGCTTGATCCTGGGAGGACGAGGTTTCCGCGAGCTGAGATCGCGCGATTGCACTCCAGCCTGGGCAACAAGAGCGAAACTCCGTTTAAAAAAAGAAATGGAAAAACTATTTCACATACTGTTTAACTTTTTTTTTTTTTTTTGAGACGGAGTCTTGGTCTGTTGCCCCGGCTGGAGTGCAGTGGCACAATTTCAGCTCCTGGCAACCTCTACCTCCCGGGTTCAAGCAATTCTCCTGTCTCAGCCCCTACCAGAAGATGGGATTACAGGCACGTGCCACCACGCCCGGCAAGTTTTTGTATTTTTAGTAGAGATGGGTTTCGCCATGTTGGCCAGGCTGGTCTTGAACTCCTGACCTCAGGTGATCCACCCGCCTCGGCCTCCCAAAGTACTAGGATTACAGGTGTGAGCCACTGCACCCGGCCCTTGTTTAAACAATTTTTTAAAACACAAGTTTTTAGTTAAATTTTGTGCTGCACAATCGTAAGTTGCTAGTATTATAAACAGTTAATAAACCTTTTCAGAAAATAGAGTATTCCCGCAATCTCCGCACTTTGGGAGGCTGAGGTGGGAAGATTTCCTGAGCCCAAGAGTTCAAGACCGGCCTGGGCAATATGGCAAGACCCCATCTCTTCACACATTTAAAAAATTAGCCGAAGAGGGCTGGGCACAGTGGCTCACGCCTGTAATTCAAGCACTTTGGGAGGCCGAGGCACGTGGATCACAAGGTCAAGAGTTCAAGACCAACCTGGCCAACATGGTGAAACCCCATTTCTACTAAAAATACAAAACAATTAGCCACGCGTTAAGCAGGTGCCTGTAATCCCAGCCACTCGGGAAGATGAGGCAGAGAACTGCTTGAACCCAGGAGGCGAAAGCTGCAGTGAGCCAAGATCCAGCCACTGCTCTCCAGCATGGGAGAAAGAGCAAGACCCTGTCTCAAAAAAATAAAAATAAAAAATAAATTAGCCAGGCATGGTGGGCACACCTGTAGTCCCAGCTACCCAGGACGCAGAGGTGGGAGGATTGCTTGAGCCCAGGAGGTGAGGGCTGCAGTGAGGTGTGTCTGCTACTGCACACCAGCTTGGGCAAGAGTGAGACCACATCTCAAAACATTAAGAGTACACATGTAAAAAGATTTATGCTCGACCGGGCGCGGTGGCTCACGCCTGTAATCCCAGCACTTTGGGAGGCCAAGGCGGGCAGATCACAACGTCAGGAGATCAAGACCATCCTGGCTAACACGGTGAAACCCTGTCTCTACTAAAAATACAAAAAAAATTAGCCAGGCATGGTGGCAGGCACCTGTACTCCCAGCTACTCAGGAGGCTGAGGCAGGATAATGGAGTGTATTTTGTATTTTGAGGGTTTCACCAGGCTGGTCTTGAACTCCTGACATTATGATCCATCCGCTTCAGCCTCCCAAAGTGCTGGGATTAAAGGAGTGAGCCACTGCGCCCAGCCCAGAGTTTTTCTCTTGTTGCTCAGGCTGGAGTGCAATGGCGCTATCTCGGCTCACTGCAACCTCCGCCTCCCGGGTTCAAGAGATTCTCCTGCCTCCGCCTCCTGGGAGTAGCTGGGATTAGAGGCATGCGCCACGAAGCCTGGCTAATTTTTTTTTGTATTTTTAGTAGAGACGGGTTTCTCCATGTTGGTCAGGCTGGTCCTGAACTCCCAACCACAGATGATCTGCCTGCCTTGGCCTCCCAAAGAAATTTTTTTTAAAATCAGTTTCAGGTTTGTTTTTTCTTTTTAGAGGAGTCTCCCTATGTTGCCCTGGCTGCCTTGCAGTGGCTATTCACAGGCATGACCATAACACTCCTTGGCTGAAGCTCACCCTCTACTGCACTCCACCCTGGGTGACAGGGAAAGACTCTGTCTCAAAAAAAAAAAAAAAAAAAGTAAAGATAAAATGAATACAGAAATGTTGGCAGCATTCTGAAACCAGAAAAGTTAAAGGTTAAGAAAAAATCTGCAGCAATAAGATAAAGGCATTAAGACCATGTTAATGATGTGCAGTTATTCATTGTTGAGAAGATGAAAATCTACCAGCAACTGGTCTAGAGGAAAACACCAAGGTCCCCTGTGATCAGTCCCCCAGGCCTCCCAACTACATGCCTCAAAAGTCATCTACTGAAAAGGTACACAACGAAAAAGTACACCATACTGCAATTTACTAAGTTCCCAGAGCTTCTTATCCAGCCATTTATAAAGCTCTAGTCCCAAATATCAGTGGTCCCCAACCTTTGTG
The DNA here is from genome assembly GCF_000001405.40 of Homo sapiens. Classification (NCBI taxonomy): domain Eukaryota; kingdom Metazoa; phylum Chordata; class Mammalia; order Primates; family Hominidae; genus Homo; species Homo sapiens. The sequence continues at coordinate 327,540 of NT_187613.1, forward strand.
GCACCAGGGACCAGTTTCGTGGAAGACAATTTTTCCACAGACCAGTATGGGTGCATGGCCTGGGCACTGGGGACCCCTGCATGTATCAAAGAGTTAAAAACAAAGTAGGTTTTTCAGAGGGTGGGGGAGGAGGGAAGGAAGGAAGACGGAGGATGCAGGTGGCCTGCTCCTGAATTTAATGGCTCCTATCCCAATACTAGTTCCATTACCTGTTACCTGCAAAATATACTCAGCCTACATTCCATTCTGTCTTCTTCATACATTAAAGACAACACTATTCAGAGAGAAGCTGAGCCAAAAGACTGCTATAATCCCAGCACTTTAGGAGGCCAAGGCAGGAGGACTTCTTGAGCCCAGCTGAAAGACCAGCCTGGGCAACACAGAGACCCCCAGTCTCCACAAAAAAGGGGGAAAAAAAGAAAAGAAAGCCTCAAGCAGTCTGGACTGACGTTTACACACAAGAAACTCCTTCCGAAGTGGAAGGAGTACCAGCTTTGCAGGGCACCAGCCTTGGCAGAATACCAGTGACATTTCAAATGTGTTGTCACTTTTCCTCAAGTACTGGATCCTTATCTGTAAAATGGGTAGTACTTTGCATGGCTGTTTGGATAACAAGTGAAAGAAATAGCCAATAAACAGTAGATGATATTATTATTACAGGGTTTCATCACAATGAAACACTTTAAAGAGGTTTTTCAATTTGTTAGTACCATTTTACACCAGTAGTCAGTGAAGAAACACTGAGCTTTCTACAGTCTTTAACATGGGACACCCAGCAACTGATACAGTACCCTGCATATACCAGACACCATTGGTGCTAATTAATTTAAACTAACTCTTAATTACACATAGGAACAGAGTAACTCCGAAAGCAATCATACATTCACTAGAATATAAAGTCCTTGAAAAGATCTTTTGTCTATTTTGTTCACTGATGAATCCCAAGTGTCTAAAGTGTCTAGAACAGTGCCTGGTACATAGTCGGCATTCAGTAAGTATTTGTCAAATGAGTTTGGGAACTTGTTTTTTAGTACTTTAATACTTTGATTAAGGCTTTTCAAAAGACAATAATCTTGACACTCAAGGACAACTTTTACTCTTCATATACCAGCCTATACAGAGGTACCTCTCCTCACTCTAAAAGTAACTACATGAGCCAGGCACGGTGGCTCACGCCTATAATCCCAGCTCTCTGGGAGGCCAAGGCAGGCGGATCACCTGAGGCCAGAAGTTTGAGACCAGCCTGGCCAACACGGTGAAACACCCGTCTCTACTGAAGAAAAAACAAAAATTAGCCAGGCATGGTGGCAGGTGCCTGTAATCCCAGCTACTCAGGAGGCTGAGGCAGGAGAATCACTTGAACCAAGGAGGTGGAGGCTGCAGTGAGCCAAGATCGCGCCATTGCACTCCAGTCTGGGCAACAGAGTGAGACTCCGTCTCAAAAGGAAAAAAAAAAAAAAGAGGAAAACATGAATTGTGTAACCTTCTATGAAACTTTAAGACTCCTTTCCAAATCAGCTTTTGCTAGGTTAAAAAGAAACAAAAACAAGACAATCTTTTACCAAGATTCTACAATTTTGACTGCAAAAGCTACTTTTCCCTTTGGTCTCAATATTTAGGGCAGGGTTGTGCTCACTTTGGCAGCACATGTACTAAAGTTGGAATGACACAAAGATTAAAAAACAAAAATAAAAATATTGGGGGTGGGGGAGTAATCCCCTGCTCCATCAGAATGGGAGATTTCTCCTCTCAATTTACGAGGATACTCCCTCATAAACACGTTCGGCTGCAGTAGAACCAAACAGGTGAAGCTCCAGTGAAACCTGAGGTGGAAAATAAGAGGCTGGGGAGATCAATGACCTAAAACACTAAGTACAGGAAAAACAGGTAGATCAAAGTCTGAATCTTTTTACAGTTTTTATGGAATTAGAAAAGACACTGAAACAAAAAATACTTTAAAATTCTGTTTTGGAATACTAAGGAAGAAAATGACCACAAATAACCCTTGGGTCCAATTCGGTTTAGTAGAAGGATTAACTTTACATTCAGATTTTTAAGAAGTTTGACATGTTTTCTCAAGTGGTTGAGAGTGTTAAGCATTTCTTTGCGGGGGTGGGGGCAGTAGGCGGGGATGGAGTCTTACTGTTTCCCAGGCTGGAGTGCAGTGCCACAATCTCGGCATTCTGCAGCTTTCTACCTCCCGAGTTCAAGCGATTCTGCTGCCTCAGCCTCCCGAATAGCTGAGATTACAAGCGCACGCCACCACGCCCGTCTAATTTTTTGTATATTTAGTAGAGACGGGGGGTCTCACCATGTTCACCAGCCTGATCCTGAACTCCTGACCTCAGGTGATCCACCCTTCTTGGCCTCCCAAAGTGCTGGGATTACAGGAGTGAGCCACTGCACCTGGCTTTTTTTTTTTTTTTTTTTTTGACGGAGTCTCACTCTGTCGTTCAGGCTGGAGCCCAGGGGCACTATCTCGGCTCACTGCAACCTTTGCCTCCCGGGTTCAAGTGATTCTCCTGCCTTAACCTCCTGAGTAGCTGGGATTACAGGCACGTGCCACCACCACGCCTGGGTAATTTTTGTTTTTTTTTTTGGTTGGTTTTTTTTTTTTTTTTTTTTTTTTAGTAGAGACGAGGTTTCACCCTGTTGGTCAGGCTTGTCTCGAACTCCTGACCTCGTGATCTGCCCTCCTCGGCCTCCCAAAGTGCTAGGATTGGCCAGGCGCTGTGGCTCACGCCTGTAATCCCAGCACTTTGGGAGGCTGAGTTGGGCGGATCGTGAGATCAGGAGATCAAGACCATCCTGGCTAACACGGTGAAACCCCGTCTCTACTAAAAATACAAAAAATGAGCCGGGCGTGGTGGCAGGCGCCTGTAGTACCAGCTACTCCGGAGGCTGAGGCAGGAGAATGGAGTGAACCCAGGAGGTGGAGCTTGCAGTGAGCCAAGATGCAAGTGGAGCGCCACTGCACTCCAGCCTGGGCAACAGAGCAAGACTCTGTCTCAAAAAAAAAAAAAGTGCTAGGATTACAGGCATGAGCAAACCATGCCCAGCCTTTTTTTTTTTTTTTTTAATAGAAACGGAGTCTTGCAATGTTGCCCAGGCTGGTCTCAAACTCCTGGCCTCAAATGACCTCCCACCTTGGCCTCCAAAAGCAATGAGATTACAGGTATGTCAATTCTTTGATGAGCTAAGAAACCCCCATCAAAATTTCAACACTTTAATATTTTAATGTTTCCTAAGTAGTATATTCTGCATTAAGTATTTCATACTCATGAATGTGTTTCTAAAAATCTACAAAAACTGTCATAACTGTCATACAACAGTGACAATATTTTCTGGTCAAATAACGTTCTTGAAAATTTCACGGTAATCCTATCATAAATCTTAACTATTTTACAAGTAAACCTATTACAATCAAATACAAGTCATTAATCCCACTAAATCTTTCTCCTTTCCTTTTTGAGACAGGGTCTCACTATGTCACCCAGGTGGGAGTGCAGTGGTCTTATCATGGCTCACTGCAGCCTCGACCTCCCGGGCTCAAGAAATCTTACCACCTTGGCCTCCCAAGTAGCTGAGACTACAGACACATGCCACTAGGTCAAGCTAATTCTGTTTCTTTTTGTAGAAACAGGGTCTCACTATGTTGCCCAGGCTGGTCTCAAACTTTTGGGCTTAAGGGATCTTCCCGCCTCTGCCTTCCAAAGTATTGGAATTACAGGGATTATTAGCCACTGCACGTGGCCCCTACTAACATTTAAACACTTAAATTTCAACATAAAGGTGTTCACAACAACCACTCCAAGGTCCTACAAAGTCTTCAGCTGACTAACCCAGGGATTAAGTAGTATTTAGTAGCTTTTTATTAATCAAAACCCATTCACTGTCCAAGGCTTATATTATGCCTTTAGAATCACATTTCACAAAATTGGTCATAGCTAACACCATTTTTCTTAAGTAATCTGAGATGGCTAAAATGCGAACATTTAACAATGATTTACGTTTTCTTTCTTTTTTTTTTTTTTTGAGATGGAGTCTCGCTCTGTTGCCCAGGCTGGAGTGCAGTGGCGCGATCCTGGCTCACTGCAAGCTCCGCCTCCCGGGTTCATGCCATTCTCCTGCCTCAGCCTCCTGAGCAGCTGGGACTACAGGCGCCCGCTACCACGCCCAGCTAATTTTTTGTATTTTTAGTAGAGACAGGGTTTCACTGTGTTAGCCAGGATGGTCTCAATCTGCTGACCTCGTAGTCCGCCCGCCTCGGCCTCCCAAAGTCCTGGGATTACAGCCGTGAGCCACCGTACCTGGCCAATTATTTACATTTTCTTTCTTTCTTTTTTTGAGACAGAGTTTTGCTCTTGTCGCCCAGGCTGGAGTGCAATGGTACAATCTCGGCTCACTGCAACCTCCGCCTCCCAGGTTCAAGCAAACCTCCTGCCTCAGCCTCCCGAGGAGCTGGGATTACAAGCGCCTGCCACCACTTCAAGCTAATTTTGTATTTTTTAGTATAGATGGGATTTCTCCATGTTGGTCAGGCTGGTCTTGAACTCCCGACCTCAGGTGATCCGCCCAACTTGGCCTCCCAAAGTGCTGGGATTACAGGTGTGAGCCACTGCACCCAGCCTACATTTTCATATTACAGCAGCTTTCATCCCAAATTCAGACAAAAGGTGTTACGTTTGCTAAGGAGAAAGTCTCTTATTAATCTAAAATTAATATCAAAACAACTATATACCAGCTCAACATGACAAAATTATTATTTGGGAATAATCTGGACGACCTTTACTTTGGATATGCAAATTTACAGATGTAAGATTAAGGATTTTGAGAATATTTCTTTGTGCATATCTTACATAAGGACTAAGCCCAGAAGACTACACTTGCTAAGAATAACTCAAAAAGGTAGGTTATCATCTAATATGATCCTAGCACAGCAGTAACAAAAACAATTATCTGACCTTTCACATTAGATAAGAATGTTTCACAACAAATAGTACCGACAAGTATTACACTTTACAGTTTACAAAAGCCCAAAATTTCATAACCACCCTGCAAATTAGTAGGCAAGAGAGACATCACTAATCCCCATTTGAAAGATAAGGAACCCAGTGATTCCTGTGCATTCTGTGATGGCAGATTTACCACATCTGCCAAATGATGAAATACTGTCATAACTCTTACAGTAATGCATCTCCTTCAAACTTTAGATATGAATGAAGAGTTAAACACATTTCATATTGCTTTAGCTCGATAAAATCCTGATCTGATCACAAATCAAGCCCACCAACAACAGATCCGTCCAGCTACTATGGTAGATTGTTGGAAGGGCAATAAATTCAAGATAAAAATTTCAGAAGAGATAAGCCAGGATCATGGTCATATGGTCTGAACTACACAGTTTGGCATTCTAAACATAACAGTTGTAACAAGATATGGGTGAGCCTTTAAATTTTTATGTGGGTATTTGGTATGAAAGACACTTGTAAAAATAAAAAAATAAAATGTATGTAGGGAAAGCTCTGAGCTTAGGACACTGCTACCAACACCTAGGTCTATTATATTTTTAAACACAGAACTGGCTCAAGGTAGCCATAAGAAAACCAACACACTAGGTGTTGACACCATCAGAGGATTTGGAATGCCAGCAAGCTCTATTTTCAGCAACTACCACATCCTTAACTAGCACGTTCCCATTTGTGGGGGAGGGAGCTAGGAGGAGGAAATTTTCACTTTTCCTTTGACTTATATTCTGCCAAAGGCTAACTTCATTTGAAAAAAAAAAATTCAACCTCCTAGAGACGTAGATCTAAGCTATCTCTGTGATAAAAAGCTGGACAACGTTTAGGAAACTGTTGTATGAGTCTAAATGACAAAATCTAGTAACAAATGGCCATTAAGTAGGGTGACCACAAGGCAAGTTTGTTGCCCAGGACAATCCCAGTTTATGCCTGCTGTTGTAGCTGATGAATTAGTCTGTCTTTTCAAGATATACTCATGTGGATGTTAAATTATGGTGACTTTCATTATTATTTGCTACAATTTAATAAATTTAAATGAACATCTGAAATTGTTCTTAGGGCCATGACTAGCATTAACATTTAGTCAGAGAACCATGAGGTTCTGTTGGCAACCAATTCGTCAATTTGGATATATCAATACCTAAATATATCAAGCTGGCCGGGCGCAGTGGTTCATGCCTATAATCCCTGCACTTTGGGGAGGCCACAGTGGGAGGATCGCTTGAACCCAGGAGTTACCTGGACAACACAGTGGGATCCCGTCTCCACAAAAAAAAAGTTTTAATTAGCTGGTCATGGCGGTACCAGCTACCTGGTGGGAAGATCACATGAGCTCAGGAGTTCAACATCAGCCTGGGCAATCCGCTGGGACCAGGCCTCTACCAAAAAAATTTTTTTGCCAGCCATGGTGGCTCACGCCTGTAATCGCAAAACTTTGGGAGGCCGAGGCAGGTGAATCTTGAGCTCGAGTTCAAGACCTGGGCAACATGGTAAAATCCTGTCTCTACAAAAATTAGCCAGAAGTGGTGGTATACTTCTGTAGCCCCAGCTACTTGGCATGCTGAGGTGCCCAGGGGGTCAAAGCTGCAGTGAGCCATAAATGTGACACTGCATCCCAGCCTGAGTAATATACTGAGATCTTGTCTCGGGAAAAAAGAAAAAGAAAAAGAAAAAAAAGTTCTTTTAAATTATCCAGGTATTGTGGTGCACAGCTGTGGGCCCAGCTAAGTGGGAGGCTGAGATGGGATGATCATTTGGGCCTGGGAGGTTGAGGATGCAGTGAATCGTTACTGCATCAATGCAATCCAAGCCTGGCCAACAAAGCAAGACCTTGTCTCAAAAAAGTATATGTATCTATCTCAAACTGTTAACTGACCATTTCAAAAATAGTGAAAATAGCCATTTTTCTTGCTGCTCTTTCCTACTCCTTAATGGATTCCATTAGACAGCTATCTAGCCAACCACCCGGAACAACACTGGTGAATCATATGCCAACCTTTGTCCCTCCTAGAAGTTGTATGTCTATATCTGGCCGGGTGCGGTGGCTCACACCTATAATCCCAGCATTTTGGGAGGCTGAGGCAGGCGGACTACCTGAGGTCAGGAGTTGAAGACCAGCCTGGCTAATATGGTGAAACTCTGTCTCTACTAAAAATACAAAAATTAGCCAAGCATGATGGCCCAAGTCTGTAGTCTCAGCTACTCGGGAGGCTGAGGCAGGAGAATCACTTGAGCCCAGGAGGCGGAGGCTGCAGTGAGCCAAGATCACGCCACTGCACTCCAGCCTGAATGACAAGAGGGAAAATCCATCTCAAAAAAAAAAAAAAGTTGTATGACTACATCACTAACCTAACAACTTAATAGCATTCACTAAGACAAAGGTGGCCGGGGGTGGTGGCTCACGCCTATAATCCCAGCACTTTGGGAGGCCAAGTCTGACAGATTGCTTGAGTCCAGGAATTCCAAGACCAGCCTGGGCAACATGGTGAAACCCCATCTCTACTAAAACACAAAAGAAATTAGCTGGGAGTGGTGGATCGCGCCACTGTACTCCAGCACTCCAGCCTGGGTGACAGAGCAAGACTCCATCTCTCCAAAAAATAAATAAATAAATAAATAAATAAATAAATAAATAAAATTTAAAAACATACAAACAAACAAAAAAAACAGCTACTTAAGAGGCTGAGGTGGGGGGATCACCTGAGACTGGAAGGTAGAGGCTGCAGTGAGCCAAGATCGCACCACTGCACTACAGCCTGGGTGACCAAGTGAGACCCTGTCTCAAAAAAAAAAAAAGGAAAAAGATAAAAGTGAGAGGAGAAAATATTTTAAAGCTACTTTACAGAAATGCATAGCATCAGCCATATCCCAGTACAGACATTATGATAAACTACGGGGCTTTTCTTTTCTTGAGACAGGCTCTCCCTCTGTGGCCCAGACTGGAGTGCAATGGTGCGATGTGGGCTCACTGCAATCTCCACCTCCCAGGGTCAAGCGATTTCCCACCTCAGCCTCCTCAGTAGCTGGGACTAAAGGCACAAGCCATCACAGGCCAGCTAATTTTTGTATTTTTAGTAGAGACTGGTTTTCACCATGTTGGTCAGGATGGTCTCAAACTCCTGACCTCAGGTGATCCGCCCACCTCGGCCTCCCACAGTGCTGGGATTGCAGGTGTTTGAGCCGCGGAACCCGGCTGGGGCTTTTCTTTTTTTGGTTGTTTTTTTCTTTTGCTTAAAGAGGTGACATCTGCCTACAATAAATCATGTTTTTTAAGAATCTGTATGCGAATAAACATTCTGAGAGTACCTAAACTTCACCTCATTTTAATTTCGCTGTGCCTTGAGATGGGATTTTATCTCTGAAAAAAACCATCAGGTTTCTTTAGGAAAGTGAAAAGATTTTGTCTACAATTCACCATGGATATCAGTCATCACAAACATCAAGATGTGAAGTAGATGCTATTAGAATTGTTAAAGAACAAGCATCAAGCATACGCTACTCACCCCCTACTCCCCTGAAAGGCACCACCTTACTTCACAGAGGTCTTTTGAGTGGCTGAGAGTAAGTGTACCGATCTAAAGGTCAGCAGACACTAAGTTCTGGCTTTACCATTTAATAACTGATTAGCCACATGATCATAAAAAAATCTCTCTCTCAAACTCACTTTCTTGAACCAGAAAATGGGAGTAACGCTCTACCTGCTTCAATCTTGTTACATAAATTAAAAACTTTTGTCAACGTGGGCTGTGAACTGAGGTACTGCATAATGTCATATACACATATGTAAAGTTTAGGCCAGAAGCAGTGACTCACACCTGTAATCCCAGCACTTTGGGAGGCCAAGGTGGGAGTCCAGGAATTCAAGACCAGCCTGGGCAACATAGAGACCTCAAATCCACAAAAAAAAAAAAAAAAAAAAAAAAACACAAAAATTAGGCCGGTGCAACAGTCCCAGCTACTAGGGAAGCTGAGGCAGGAGGGTCACTGGAACTCAGGAGGTCGAGCCTGCAGTAAGCTATAATGGCGACACTGCACTTCAGCCTGGGTCACAAAGCAAGACCCTGTTTCAAAAAAAAATTTTTTTTTAATTTAGCCTTCCCATAAATACATACACCTAATATGTGCCCATTAAAAAATTAAAAATTTAGGCCAGGTACAGTGGCTCATACCTGTAATGCTAGCCCTTTGGGAGGCTGAGGCGGGAGGATCACCTGAGGTCAGGAGTCAGAGATCAGCCTGGCAAACATGGTGAAACCCCATCTCTACTAAAAATACAAAAATTAGCCAGGTGCGATGGCGGGCGCCTGTAGTCCCAGCTACTCGGGAAGCAGAGGCAGGAGAATCGCTTGAACCCAGGGGGCAGAGGCTGCAGTGAGCCGAGATCCTACCACTACACTCCACCCTAGGTGACAGAGCAAGACTGTCTCAAAAAAATAAATAAAAATAAAACTGCAGCCTTTACTCCATGCTTGTCATTACTGTTTGTGTACACAGTGTTCTTGAAATATAAAGAAAAAATATGCCTGCAGTATCAGTCACCCTTACAGTCATCCATGAAAAAAAAAAACAATCAGGCCGGGTGTGGTGGCTCACGCCTGTAATTCCAACACTTTGGGAGGCCGAGGCAGGCAGATCACCTGAGGTCAGGAGTTCAAGACCAGCCTGGCAAACATGGTAAAACCCTGTCTCTACCAAAAACACAAAAATTGGCTGGGTGCGGTGGCTCACACCTGTAATCCCAGCAGTTTGGGAGGCTGAGGTGGGCAGATCACCTGAGATCAGGAGATAAAGACCATCCTGGCCAACATGGTGAAACCTCGTCTCTACTAAAAATACAAAAAATTAGCCGAGTGTGGTGGCACGCGCCTGTAGTCCCAGCTACTTGGGAGGCTGAGCCAGGAGAACCGCTTGAACCTGGGAGGCGGAGGTTGCAGTGAGCCAAGACCACGCCATTGCACTCCAGCCTGGGGGACAGAGCCCAGTCGTAGAAGGGATTTTTAACACTACGTTACTCAGTTCTGTCTATGCATTTAAGAAGGAGAAAAATAAACTTTACTCCAGAAAGTTAGTCCATTAACTGAAACGGCAATGGAAAATTACTGGCCTACAGTCAAAGAACTGGTAGTTAATCTAAATACTTCTAAACTTATTAACAACGTTAATTTACTACTACCTATTTTTTTCCTAACAAGACCGTAGTAAAAAGTTCATTCCACACATGCTCCCTTCCCTGTTCTTCACTAACTAGCAGAATAAGCTAGCTAGAGATGAGGATCTGGTGTTTTAAAAGGACAGCTCTCAGCGGGCTCAGTGGCTCACGCCTGTAACCCCAGCACTCTGGGAGGCCGAGGCGGGCGGATCACCTGAGGTCAGGAGTTCGAGATCAGCCTGGCCAACATGGCGAAACCCCATCTCTACTAAAAATACAAAATTAGCCTGGCATAGTGGCGGATGCCTGTAATCCCAGCTACTCTTGGAGGCTGAGGCAGGAGAATCGCTTGAACCCAGGGGATGGAGGTTGCAGTGAGCCGAGATCGCGCTATTGCACTACAGCCTGGGCGACAAGAGCAAGACTCCGTCTCAAAAAAAAGACAGCTCTTGACCAGGCGCGGTGGCTCAGGTCCTTAATGTCAGCACTTTGGGAGACTGAGGTGGGCGGATCACCTGAGGTCGGGAGTTCGAGACCAGCCTGACCAACATGGAGAAACCGTGTCTCTACTAAAAAAGAAATACAAAATTAGCATGGCATGGTGGCACATGCCTGTAGTCCCAGCTACTCGGGAGGGTGAGGCAGGAGAATCGCTTGAACCCTGGAGGCGGAGGTTGCAGTGGGCCGAGATTGTGCCACTTCAATAAAGCCTGGGAGACAGAGCGAGACTCCGTCTCAAAAGAAAAAAAAGACAGCTCTCAAGTAAATGACTCAACAGATGCATTCCTAGGGAATCCAACATGACCATCAAAACTTCATCCTACCTTCCATGAAGCCAATCTTGATAGGGAAGAGACTAGGAAAGGACAAAACCAACAACAGCCCCACAAGCCCAAATGTAGTTTATGTTACCCCTCTGCTCCCCAAAAACGGGTAAACTTTTCCCCTCTATATTCCCCGTTTTTTATTGTTGCTGTTGCCCAGGATGGAGTGCAATGGCGCAATCTCGGCTCACCGCAACCTCGGCCTCCCGGGTTCAAGTGATTCTCCTGCCTCCGCCTCCCAAGTAGCTGGGATTACAGGCACCCACCACCCCCGGCTAATTTTGTATTTTTACTACAGACGGGGTTTCTCCATGTTGGTCAGGCTGGTCTCGAACTTCTGACTTCAGGTGATCCACCCGCCTTGGCCTCCCAAAGTACTGGGATTACAGGCATGAGCCACCGCACCTGGCCTCTTTTTTTTTTTTTTGGAGACAAGAGTCTCGCTCTGTTGCCCAGGCTGTAGTGTAATGCCATAATCCTGGTTCACTACAACCTTCACCTCCCGGGTTCAAGTGATTCTTCCACCTCAACCTCCTCAGTAGCTATGCCCGGATAATTTTTTTATTTTTGTAGAGACAGGGTTTCACCATGTTGGCCAGGCTGGTCTTGAACTCCCGACCTCAGGTGATCCACCCGCCTCGACCTCCCAAGGTGCTGGGATTACAGGCGTGAGCCACCCCGCCCGGCCTTTCTTCCCCACTTTCTTGTACTATTTCATATACGGGACAGTAAGAGCTGTTTGAGAAATGCTAAGAAATAATGGACTTGCTTAATATGGTTTCAAAGGAGGTAAAAACGATTCGAATAGACTACTGGCTTGTTAAAGTGATGAGATGCTAGATTTAATCTTCAACTCCCAGCCCCAAACTTAAATATTTCCTGTGACCCAAAATTGTCATTTTCCTGAACACAGGTTAGCTCTTCCTCCCGTACTGTTAAATAATCCATATAAATTGATTCCAACGCCCCAGGATAGAATTAAATGAGGATACAAAGAAGTTTAGGCACTAATTCAACACAGCAAGCAAAATAAAATAAGCCTGCTGCAGTAACAGAGAGATAAAAGGGCAGCTGGAAACCCAGCATTTGGGTACAAGTACCCAACAAAGAAATCCTGCCAATACACTGTCTTACCTTCTTCCACCCCCGACACCTGCTAAGTTCTGTTTGGTGACCAGAACTCCGGGAAAACTTTGCCACCAGAAACAAAAAAATACCGCACTCAATAAAGGAATGGACACAGGTAGAGGACACAGGTAGAAATTCCTGGTTTCTGTCTCCTCCTCCTCCTCTCCTTTCCACTGAGTCCCTACCTTATGCCCCAAGTCACAGCAATAGCTCCTCACCTTGTAGATCCTATTTCCTTACCCCTTTAGATCCTGAAGGGGACACCTAACATTAACAACTGTAATAATGTGGCTGTATCAGAGTCCCATGTTCAATAACCAATAAGGGCTCTGGTCAGAAATCCTCACCACTCACATCAAAAATATAATTATCACTAACCTGTACTTTATTTGGAAACTACAATCACAAGCTTTCAAATCAGTTTTTTAAAGGAGCTTTCAAAAAGAAAAAGACCTTTCCTCACATCCTTTCTAGTTATCACAGCAAGTTTACTTAAAAAGCCCCAATACCCACAAAATAGAAAGCATTCAAGTACAATTTGTTTCCTCCCAAGAACACTAACAGATTAAGAGGGGAACATCTGGAGATGAGGGGGCGGAGGAGGAGACTTCCAATACAAGCACATTCATATCTCTTTGATTTTTAAACACTGAAATAAAGACAAAGCAGACCTTGAGCTGTACTTCCCCATCTTATCCCCCCCCCCAACAGGAACCTTGTTGAATACAAATAGCAATTTAAGAATTTACAAGACGAAATTTAGTTCACTATATTTCCTAAATATGAGTTCTAGAGGCCTTGTCTTATTTTCAAATCCCTGAATCTTATTTCTGATGATAAGGGGGACTAACCCTGAGGTTATTCACATGACTAAATCCGCATTTCGAGGAAAGCAAGGGCCCTAACATTTTGAAATATAGGTATTTTAATTAGGAAAAAAATCTAAGAATCAAAGATACTTGATTCCAACCATGTCTCACCCCACCCTACCACGCAAAAGCATTAAAACCACAGGACCCACAGACATGACCTTTCGTTTAATACTACAGTATCGCACAATTATAAATGTGTGGGTATTTCAAAAGGTGGTCCAAAAGGTGGACTGGGAGAGAGGATTAAGAATAAACTTCCTGACAATGACTGGACAGACACAATGGACATTCGATGAAGTTCTGAAAAAGGACTGGAGAACCCATTAGGGGCAAAAGAACAACGAACAAAGAGGACCTACTAATATTTCTACATAAACCCATTTATTTAAAACGGAAAAAAAGAAAGCAACAGGATCTTCAACCTTCATAACTCAAAAAACCCAGCCTCAGCCGAGCGCCTGGAATAGGTTAAGATCCCCCACGAAGTACAGACCAGCATTCCGAGCCTGCAGAGTCAACCAAAATACAGTTACTGAACACTATTGGAAATAACTTTATTTCAACAGGTCTTCCCATTTGTCATCACGGTGCGCACAAACTGTAAAGTCATCGTTTTTACAAACGGGGGGACGGAGGCTCGGGCTCTACAAAGGCTCGAACTCTCAGAGTCGTGGCCTCCTGGTTCTATCCATCAGAACCCACGGGTGATGGAGCCAGAGAAAGGTTACAGGAACTTCGAGATCTCCTGTTTTAAGTCTGAGGAAAGGGAGGGAGTGAGGATTTTCTGGGCCTCCCCAGAAGACGACGAGGAGGAAAAGCCCCGAAACCCCTCACTACGAGGTGCCGGCCTACGGGAAAGAAACCCGATCGCAGCATGGGAGCCTGCCACCGCCCGAAGACGAACTGCAGTGATTCCCACTCACCCCTCTCCCCCCACCATCATCCACGACTGTCCCCCACCTCAGGCCTGAGGAAGCCCATCGCTCTCAAAGGTCCTCCTTTGTGAGACTCCACGGCCGCCGCCCCACACGGGGCCTCCGGGGAAAAGCCACCGCCCCCACCCGCCATATTTCCCTGAAAGGCGCCCGCGCTACAGCTCCCGGTCTTCGCTCTCTCCCATGTGGCGGGTGCTGCTTCCCCCGTCACCCCACCCAATTGTTCTCCACATCCCAAGGCCGTCCCAGAAGCTCCCATGAGGGTGGCTCGTTCGGAGACAGCACCCGCCATCTCCTCCCCCTCCCCCGCCCCGGGACTCGCCCTCCCCCCAGCCGCCATTTTACAACCAACTCCTCCACCCCGTCGCCCCGGCCTCCCGGCCCGCGAGTTGTTTGCAGTTAAGGACGGCGAAGGGGTCACATTCCAGGGCATAGAGCCTCCCATCGCCCCGGGAGCTCCCAGGCCATTTCCTGCTTCCCGAACCCAAGCCCCCGGGCCAGGCTCGCAGACGATGCCGCCATTTTGTCTCCTGTTCCCGGCCTCTGTGGGCGGCGGCAGAGGGTCCGAGAATTCCAGCCCCCCGTTGCCCCCCCAACTCACCGTCGTATCGCTCAGCCTGCTCGGCCAGCTTCGCCTGGTACACCAGATCCTCTCGATCATCCATAGCGGCAGCGGCTCCGGCAGGGTCTGCGCGACGGATGGAAGCGGATAGTGTCTCCGACTCTCTCAGCCTCTCGCTCCGCGTCCGGGCAGCAAAAATGGCGGCGCCTCAATCCGGGACTTCCGCCTGCGCACGCGGACAACTGCTCAGCTCTATGGCAACCGCTCCCTGGCAACTGGCGCGGGGGGCGGGTCCTGGAACTCGGCGCCCGAAGCGGCTGGAACGAGCGCACGAGACGCCTCTCCTCTGTCGGCTCAGCGGGCGCCGGAGCCCAGAGGCGGGAACTGCGACTGCCGAAAGGGAGCGGCCCCCGGGGAACGAGAAGGGCTGAGGCGGGGCCGGCCGGGACTGCTCCTGAAAAAAGCCAGCGAGAGACCTGGGTCAGACCGGGGCCCGAGGCCCGACCTGCGGAAAAGAACGACGGAGGCTGTAACGGTTTCTGTCATGGCAGGTCTTCTTTCCCGAAATCTGAGGCTGTCACTACCGCGCCCTGGTTTTCTTTTCTTTTTTCTTTTTTCTTTTTTCTTTTTGAGACGGAGTTTCCCTCTTGTTCCCCAGGCTGGAGTGCAGTGGTGCGATCTCGGGTTACCACAACGTCCGCCTTCCCGGGTTCAAGTGATTCTGCTGCCTCAGCCTCTCGAGTAGCTGGGATTTCAGGCCCCCGCCACCACCCCCAGCTTTTGTATTTTTAATAGAGATGGGGTTTCACCATGTTGGCCAGGCTGGTCTCGAACTCCCGACCTCAGATGATCCGCCCCCCCTCGGCCTCCCAAAGCGCTGGGATTCCAGGGGTGAGCCACCGCGCCCAGCCCACGTCCTAGTTTTCTCGGCCAAGCCTGGTCATGGGCCTTTTTCAGACACTTTTAGACTCAGGGTAACGAACCGGGCCCTGGCCGGGCGCGGCGGCTCATGCCTGTCATCCCAGCACTTTGGGAGGCCAAGGCGGGAGGATCACAAGGTCAGGAGTTCGAGACCAGCCTGGCCAATATAGTGAAACCCCGTCTCTACTAAAAATACAAAAAATTAGCTTGGCATGGTGGTGCATGCCTGTCATCCCAGCTACTCAGGAGGCTGAGGCAGGAGAATCTCTTGAACCCGGGAGGCGGAGGTTACAGTGAGCCGAGATCCTCCCATTGCACTCCAGCCCAGGCGACAGTGTGAGACTGTGTTTCAAAAGAAAAATTATATATATATACAAAAATTAGCTGGGCGTGGTGGTGCATGCCTGTAATCCCAGCTACTCCAGAGGCTGAGGCAGGAGAATCGCTTGAACCCGGGAGTGGGAGGGTGCAGTGAACCGAGAGCACACCATTGCACTCCAGCCTGGGCAACAAGAGCACAACTCTGTCTCAAAACAAAGAAAAAGAAAAAAAACGAACTGGGCCCTGTTACAGTTGTCAGGGACAGGGGAGCTCCAGTTTTCACGCCTCAACTTTCCCCTCACACTGATCTTTGTCTTCTCCTGTTTAACCTTTTTCCCTCCCTAGGCCCACTATGAATAGGAGCAGGGAATTTGTTAGATGAGGGTGGTGTGGAGTACATGGTACAGAAGAGTTGGACCAAGATCAAATAAAGATTGTGGAGGCAGGAATAACTCAGTGAACATTGCTTCAGCTTCTGGCGCTTGGGAGGCCCATGCGGAAGGATGACTTGAGCCCAGCCTGGGCAACATAGCGAGACTCCATGTCTATAAAAACGTTTTTTTTTTTTTTTATTTGAGTCGGCATCTCGCTCTGTTGCCCAGGCTGGAGTGCAGTGTCGTGATCTCGGCTCACTGCAACCTCCACCTCCCGGGTTGAAGCAATTCTCCTGCTTCAGCCTCCCAAGTAGCTGAGACTACGGGCACATGCCACCACACCCGGCCAATTTTTTGTATTTTTAATAGAGACGGGGTTTCACCATGTTAGCCAGGGTGGCCTCGATCTCCTGACCTCGTGATCTGCCCACCTCGGCCTCCCAAAGTGCTGGGATGACAGGCCTGAGCCATATCTTAGCAGTTTCAGAGGCTGAAGCAGGAGGATCTCCTGAGTCCAGGAGGTTGAGGCTGCAGTGAACTGTGATTGCACCAGTGGACTCCAGCCTGGGTAACAGAGCGAGACCCTGTCTCAAAAAATAAAGTGGGGAGAGGGAGGGATCTTGCCACGTTGCACAGACTGGCCTTAAACTGAGTTCAAGCAATCCCACCTTGGCCTCCCAAGTAGTTGGGAAACTACAGGCTTGCACCAACGCACCCAATCTTGCATCCTATTTTGTGGCCAAGGGAGCTGTATGATTTTGCGTGGAGGATGATGTCATCATAGTTATATTTCAGAAATATTAACAAATATTCCATAGCAATGATTAAAGAGGAGGATAACCAAACGTAATACGTGGGAGCAATGAAAATAGAAAGGAAAGGATAAATAGGAATAGCACTATAGAGGGAAGCCACAAGCAGCTGATCAGATTGCAGCTCTTTTTTTTTTTTTTACCATTACATATATAACATTTTATTATAATTTAAGGTATAGTCGATAATATAATGTTTTTTTTGTGTTTTTTTTGTTTTTTTTTTTAAATTGATCATTCTTGGGTGTTTCTCGCAGAGGGGGATTTGGCAGGGTCATAGGACAATAGTGGAGGGAAGGTCAGCAGATAAACATGTGAACAAGGGTCTCTGGTTTTCCTAGGCAGAGGACCCTGAGGCCTTCCGCAGTGTTTGTGTCCCTGGGTACTTGAGATTAGGGAGTGGTGATGACTCTTAACGAGCATGCTGCCTTCAAGCATCTGTTTAACAAAGCACATCTTGCACCGCCCTTAATCCATTTAACCCTGAGTGGACACAGCACATGTTTCAGAGAGCACAGGGTTGGGGGTAAGGTCACAGATCAACAGGATCCCAAGGCAGAAGAAGTTTTCTTAGTACAGAACAAAATGAGAAGTCTCCCATGTCTACCTCTTTCTACACAGACACGGCAAGCATCCAACCTCTCAATCTTTTCCCCACCTTTCCCCCCTTTCTATTCCACAAAACCGCCATTGTCATCATGGCCCGTTCTCAATGAGCTGCTGGGCACACCTCCCAGACGGGGTGGCGGCCGGGCAGAGGGGCTCCTCACTTCCCAGTAGGGGCGGCCGGGCAGATGCGCCCCTCACCTCCCGGACGGGGCGGCTGGCCGGGCGGGGGGCTGACCCCCCCACCTCCCTCCCGGACGGGGTGGCTGCCGGGCGGAGACGCTCCTCACTTCCCAGATGGGGTGGCTGCCGGGCGGAGGGGCTCCTCACTTCTCTGACGGGGCGGCTGCCGGGTGGAGGGGCTCCTCACTTCTCAGACGGGGCGGCCGGGCAGAGACGCTCCTCACCTCCCAGACGATGGGCGGCCGGGCAGAGACGCTCCTCACTTCCTAGATGGGATGGCGGCCGGGCAGAGACGCTCCTCATTTTCCAGACTGGGCAGCCAGGCAGAGGGGCTCCTCACATCCCAGACGATGGGCGGCCAGGCAGAGACGCTCCTCACTTCCCAGACAGGGTGGCAGCCGGGCAGAGGCTGCAATCTCGGCACTTTGAGGGGCCAAGGCAGGCGGCTGGGAGGTGGAGGTTGTAGCGAGCCGAGATCACGCCACTGCACTCCAGCCTGGGCACCACTGAGCACTGAGTGAACCAGACTCCGTCTGCAATCCCGGCACCTCGGGAGGCCGAGGCTGGCAGATCACTCGCGGTTAGGAGCTGGAGACCAGCCCGGCCAACACAGCGAAACCCCGTCTCCACCAAAAAAATACGAAAACCAGTCAGGCATGGCAGCGCGCGCCTGCAATCGCAGGCACTCGGCAGGCTGAGGCAGGAGAATCAGGCAGGGAGGTTGCAGTGAGCCGAGATGGCAGCAGTACAGTCCAGCTTCGGCTCGGCATCAGAGGGAGACCGTGGAAAGAGAGGGAGAGGGAGACTGTGGGGAGAGGGAGAGGGAGAGGGAGAGGGCTTTTTTTTTTTTTTTAATTTTGAGACAGTCTCGCTCTGTCGCCCAGGCTGGAGTGCAATGTCACAATCTCGGCTCACCACAACTTCTGTCTCCCAGGTTCGAGCGATTCTCCTGTCTCAGCCCCCCAAGTAGCTGGGATTACAGGTGTGCCCCACCATGCCCAGCTAATTTTTGTATTTTTAGTAGAGACAGGGTTTCACCGTATTAGCCAGGCTGGTCTTGAACTCCGACCTCAGGTGATCCTCCCACCTCAGCCTCCCAAAGTGCTGGGATTACCAGCGTGAGCCACCGCACCTGGCCCAGATTGAAGATCTTATAATAAAAATTGACTTTCCATCTTTCCACCCTGAGAATATTAACAAAAAATGGGAATGCTAGGAACACTTGCTGATGGAATGCAGAGAAAGACAAAGTTCTTTTAGCACATGTTGGTTCAGAGGATCAGGGATCCGCAGGTACCCAAGGATCACCCAGGTAAAAATGACCACGAAGGAGTTGTAAAAGGGGACACGCATTCCAAATAGAAGGGAAGCTGTTGGCCGGGCACAGTGGCTCACGCCTGTAATCCCAGCACTTTGGGAGGCCAAGGCGGGCAGATAATGAGGTCAGGAGTTTGAGACCAGCCTGACCAAAATGGTGAAACCCTGTGTCTACCAAAAATACAAAAAGTAGCTGGGCATGGTGGCACGCGGCTGTAATCCCAGCTACTGAGGAGGCTGAGGCCGGAGAATCACTTGAACCTGGGAGGCGGAAGTTGTGGTGAGCTGAGATTGCGCCACTGCACCTCAGCCTGGGTGACAGAGTGAGACTCCATATCAAAAAAAAAAAAAAGAATAAAAGGAGGTGTCAGTCGTATTAAATTCTGCAGAGACATAAGTCAGATTAGCACTGAGGGAAAGCCATTGGATATAGCGATTAGGTCATTAGTGACCTTCAAAAGGAGTTTCGAAATGGTGTTGGAAGCCAGATTGCATTTGGTTGAAGCTCAGGGAAGTCGAGAAAGTGGAACTGGTAAGCATAGGGGTCTCCTGAGAGGAGCAGTGAAGACAGACAGGTAATTTGAGAGCAATGAGTGGCCAATAGGGGTGGCCAAATTAAGGATTTGGTCCACACATTCACAAACCTACCTACAAAGACAGCTCTGCTGCCGGGTTGATTACAGGGGCTGCCGTGGCTATGCAGCTGTCTGTGCTGGGGAAAGAAGCTATCGGCCGTCTCTTTCACAAAGAAGCTTCTGTACAGTGTCTCCCCAGACCCGCCGAAGTCTCTCCAAAAGTGCCTCTTCCTACGTAACTGCTGAGACGGCAGAAACCCTACACGTAGATTGCTGGTGTGACTGCACTGCCCGTTCTCTCAATACATGGAACTAACGGGCAGACATGGTTGATAGGGCACCAAAAATAGACAGAAACAATTTTGATGTAGCATTCGGGATTATAAACAGATATAAAACATCCTGGTGCTGCGCAGAAGTGGCTGTCGTGATACGGTCCTGCGCTTTTCACGGCTGCTGCGGCCATAGATACTTCACTTGCTATTGAAACGCCTTTGACACAATCTCCAGGTCATAGGTCACAACCCCAAGTGTAAGTCTCCCTGCCTGATAGAAAATCTGCTTTAATAAGAAACAAGAACTCACTCAGTCCGTCCGGAGAGCCCCTAGATATGTGGCAGTGTACTAAGCACTATGAGAAGGAAATAAGATGTTAAAAAATATCATTAACCAGGCTCGGTGGCTCACTTCTGTAATCCCAGCACTTTGGGAATCTGAGGCGGGTGGATCACCTGATGTCAGGAGTTTGAGACCAGCCTGGCCAACATGGTGAAACCCCTTCTCTACTAAAAATACAAAGGCCGGGCACGGTGGCTCATGCCTCTTATCCCAGCACTTCGGGAGGCCAAGGCGGGCGGATCATGAGGTCAGGAGTTCGTGACCAGTCTGGCCAACATAGTGAAACCCCATCTCTACTAAAAATACACAAAAAATTAGCCGGGCATGGGGGTGTAATCCCCATGTAATCCCAGCTTCTCAGGAGGCTGAGGCAGGAGAATCACTTGAACCCGGAAGCCAGAGGTTACTGTGAGCTGAGATCATGCCACTGCACTCCAGCCTGGGTGACAGAACGAGACTCCATCTCAAAAAAAAAAAATAAAAATAAAAGTAAAAATACAAAGATTCGCTGGACATGATGGCGCACACCTATAATCCCAGCTACTCGGGAGGCTGAGGCAGGAGAATTGCTTGAACCTGGAGGGAGGAGGTTGCAGTGAGCCTACTCGGGAGGCTGAGGCAGGAGAATCGCTTGAACCCGGGGGGAGGAGGTTGCAGTGAGCCAAGATCATGCCACTGCACTCCAGCCTGGGTGGCAGAGCAAAACTCTGTCTCAAAAAAAAAAAAAAAAAATCAATAGACTTTATGGTATTTAAAAAAAAAAACAAAAAAAACCCAGGCTCAGCATAGTGGCTCATGCCTGAAATCCCAGCACTCTAGGAGGCCAAAGTGGGAGGATCGCTTGAGACCAGGATTTCAAGACCAGCCTGGGCAACACTGTGAGACCCCCGTCTCTACAAAAAATTGTTGGATGCACTGCACATCCAGGTGTTGGCATGCACCTGTAGTTCCAGCTACTCCGGAGGCTATAGTGGGAAGATCGCTTGAGCCCAGGAGGTGGAGGCTGCAGTGAGCCATGATCACAGCACTGCACTCCAGCATGGCCAACAGGGCCAGACTCTGTCTTGAAAAAAAGAAAAAAGAAAAAGAACAAAGAAGAAATAAAAAAATCTATGCATGCTTGGTGGCTCATGCCTGTAATGCCAACACTTTAGGAGGCTTAGGTGGGGGGAATCGCTTAAGCCCAGGAGTTTGAGACCAGTGTAGGCAACATACTGAAACCTTCTCTTTACTAAAAATACAAAAATTAACGGCACGGTTGTGTGTGCTTGTAGTCCCAGCTACTTAAGAGGCTGAGGAGAGAGAATTGCTTGAGCCCAAGACTTGGAGTTTGCAGTGAGACTTGATGACACCACTTTACTCCAGCCTGGGTGACAGACACTATGTCTCAAAAAAACAAAACAAGGCCTGGCGCGGTGACTCACGCCTGTAATCCCAGCACTTTGGGAGGCCGAGGCGGGCAGATCATGATGTCAGGAGTTCAAGGCCAGCATGACCAACATAGTGAAACCTCTTCTCTACTAAAAATGCAAAAATTAGCCAGGTGTGGTGGCACGTACCTGTAATCCCAGCTACTCGGAAGACTGAGGCAGGAGAATCGCTTGAACTAGGGAGTCGGAGGGGGCAGTGAGCCGAGATTGAGCCACTGCACTCTAGCCTGGCGACCGATCAAGACCTCGTCTCAAAAAAAAAAAATCCATATCTAAAGTGATTTGAAATGACATGTTTATTATGTTTCAAATTTTCCTATGTCTGGTTCTAGAATTTTTCTATTCATTTCCTCTGATCTGTTTGTTCTTATGTCGATAAGATTTTAAATATAATACCATTATAGTATGTTTTTATATCTGGTAGAACATTTTTTTATTCAAAATTTCACTGATTTTATACTTTTACTCTGCTAGATGAACTTCAGAATCAACTTGAAAAGTTCTCTCGGCCGGGCGCGGTGGCTCATGCCTGTAATCCCAGCACTTTGGGAGGCCGAGGTGGGCACATCATGAGGTCAGGAGATCGAGACCATCCTGGCTAACACGGTGAAACCCCATCTCTACTAAAAATACAAAAAATTAGCCGGGCGTGGTGGCGGGCGCCTGTAGTCCCAGCTACTTGGGAGACTGAGGCAGGAGAATGGCGTGAACCCGGGAGGCGCAGCTTGCAGTGAGCCGAGATCGCACCACTGCACTCCAGCCTGGGCGACAGAGCGAGACTCCATCTCAAAAAAAAAAAAGAAAAGTTCTCTCAAGACCCATGTAGGTTTTTTGGGGGGCTGTTCTGAATTTATAGATTAATTAAAAGACAATTGGAAATTTTTTTTCTTTTCTTTTTCTTTTCTTTTTTCTTTTTTTTTTTGAGACAAAGTTTCGCTCTTGTGGCCCAGGCTCGAGTGCAATGGCACAATCTCGGCTCACTGCAACTTCTGCCTCCCAGGTTCAAGTGATTCTCCTGCCCCAGCCTCCCAAGTAGCTGGAATTACAGGCATGTGCCACCACGCCTGGCTAATTTTTTGTATTTAGTAGAGATGGGATTTCACCATGTTGGCCAGGCTAGTCTCAAAATCCTGACCTCAGGTGATCCACCCGCCTCGCCCTCCCAAAGTGCTGGGATGACAGACTTGAGCCACTGCACCCAGCCCAAGAATTGGAGATATGTTCAAAAATGAGTTTTCTCAGGAAAATTCTCCAATTTTATTCCAGTCTCCTTGCTGAAATGATTTTTTTGTTTTTTTTTTTGAGACAAAGTCTCACTCTGTCGCCTAGGCTGGAGTGCAGTGGCACAATCTCGGCTCACTGCAACCTCTGCTCCGGGTTCAAACGATTCTCCTGCTTCAGCTTCCTGAGTAGCTGGGACTACAGGCGCACGCCACCACGCCTGGCTAAATTTTTATTTTTAGTAGAGATGGGGTTTCACCATGTTGGCCAGGCTAGTCTTGAACTCCTGACCTCAGGTGATCTGCCCGCCTCGGCCTCCCAAAGTGCTGGGATGACAGGCGTGAGCCACTGCGCCCAGCCTGAAATGATCTTAAGTACAATTGTATAGTTAGATGTATAAAGGTCTCACATATTTCTAATTAACTTTGTTCCCAAGTATTTAGGAGGCTATTGATAATTATAAATGGGCTCTCCCCCATTTTATATTTCTTTTTTTCTTTTTTTTTTTTTGAGACAGAGTCTCGCTCTGTCGGCCAGGCTGGAGTGTAGTGGCACGATCTCGGCTCACTGCAACCTCCGCCTCCCGGGTTCAAGCAATTCTCCTGCCTCAGCCTCCCGAGTAGCTGGGATTACAGGTATGTGCCACCACGCCCAGCTAATTTTTGTATTTTTAGTAGAGACAGGGTTTCATCATGTTGGCCAGGCTGGTCTTGAACTCCTGACCTCAGGCAATCCGCCCACCTCAGCCTCCCAAAGTGCTGGGATTACAGGCGTGAGCCACTGCGTCCGGCCCTATTTTATATTTCTGATTGATCTATACTTCCACTGATATATACAAAAATCACTTTTTTTTTTTTTGTATAGACGGGGTTTCGCCATGTTGCTCTGTCTGGTCTCAAATGCCTGGGCTCAACCATCTGCCAGCCTCAGCCTCCCAAAGTGCTGAGATTACAGGCATGAGCCACTGCGCCCAGCCCCAAATCCATGATTTTTGATAGTTATCTTGTACCCAACTGCCTTACTGAACTCTGTCTTATTAGTTCTTTTTTTTTTTTTTTGAGACAGAGTCTCACTGTGTTGCCCAGGCTGGAGTGCACTGGCACAATCTCGGCTCACTGCAACCTCTGCCTCCCAGGTTCACGCCATTCTCCTGCCTCAGCCTCCCTAGTAGCTGGGACTACAGGCGCCCACCACCATGCCCGGCTAATTTTTTTTTTTTTTTGAGGCGGAGTCTTGCTCTGTCGCCCAGGCTGGAGTGCAGTGGCGCGATCTCAGCTCACTGTAAGCTCCGCCTCCCGGGTTCAGACCATTCTCCCGCCTCAGCCTCCCGAGTTGGGACTACAGGCGCCCGCCACCACGCCCGGCTAATTTGTTGTATTTTTAGTAGAGACGGGGTTTCACCGTGTTAGCCAGGATGGTCTCGATCTCCTGACCTCGTGATCCGCCCGCCTCGGCCTCCCACAGTGCTGGGATGACAGGCGTGAGCCACCGCGCCCAGCCAAGTTCTTATTTAATTCTAACTTCTTTCTGCATTGACTTGGAGCTTCAGAGAAGTATTAAATAAGAGATATAATAATGGGCATTATTGAATTCTATTGAATACTTGATTTTAATAGGAATGACTCTAGTGTTTCACCATTGAGGTTTACTATTGGTTTCTGATAAATAATATTTTTTTCTTTTTTTGAGATGGAGTCTCACTCCGCTGCCCAGGCTGGAGTGCAGTGGCACGATCTCGGCTCACTGCAACTTCCACCTCCCAGGTTCACGCCATTCTCCTGCCTCAGCCTCCTGAGTAGCTGGGACTACAGGTGTCCACTACCATGCCCGGCTAATTTTTTGTATTTTTAGTAGAGACAGGGTTTCACCATGTTGGCCAGGCTGGTCTCTAACTCCCAATCTCAGGTAATCTGCCTGCCTAAGCCTTCTAAAGTGTTGGGATTACAGGCATGAGCCACTGCGCTCGGCCCTAATTTTTGTATTTTTAGTAGAGACAGGGTTTCGCCATGTTCACCAGGATGGTCTCGAACTCCTGACCTCAGGTGATCTGCCCACCTCAGCCTCTCAGAGTGGTGGGATTACAGGCGTGAGCCACTGCGCCTGGCCCCTTCCTGCCTTTTTCTTTCTTTCTTTTCTTTTCTTTTTTTTTTTAAAGATGGAGTTTCACTCTTATTGCCCAGGCTGGAGTACAATGGCACAATCTCGGCTCACCACAACCTCCACCTCCCGGGTTCAAGCAATTCTCCTGTCTCAGCCTCCCTAGTAGCTGGGATTACAGGCATGTGCCACCACGCCTGGCTAATTTTGTGTTTTTAGTAGAGACGGCGTTTCTCCATGTTGGTCAGGCTGGTCTCGAACTCCCAACCTGAGGTGATCCGCCCGCCTCGGCCTCCCAAAGTGCTGGGATTACAGGCATGAGCCACCGCGCCTGGCCATTTTATTTTTCATATCATGTATGAAAAGACGACAACTCTGGGCTGTTTGTCATGTAAAGTATCTCACACTCTGGACTTTTTTTTTTTTTTTTTGAAACAGGGGGTCTCGCTCTGTCACCTAGGCTGGAGTGCAGTGGCGCAATTTCCGCTCACTGCAACCTCCACCTCCCGGGTTCAAGCCATTCTTCTGAACTCAGCCTCCCGAGTAGCTGGGATTAAGGCGCCTGCCACCACGCCCAGGTAATTTTTGTATTTTTAGTAGAGATACGGTTTCACCATGTTAGCCAGGATGGTCTCGATCTCCTGACCTCGTGATTACAGGTGTGAGCCAGCACACCCGGCCCTCTGGACTTGTTTCTTTGCTTCCTTGTGATGCTGTTTAAATTGTTTCCTATTCCTTAAATTTCCTGTAAAGTGGTGGTTGGATGACAGCCAGGTTCAGGTTTTGTTTTTTGTTTTTTTTTGGTTTTTTTTGCCAGAATACCTCAGAGGTGGTGCTTGCTGCAAGCTTCCTTTGGTCTTATTGTGCTAAGACTGACAAGTGACAATATTTAAAGAATATGTTTGCTGGGGCCGGGCACGGGGGCTCATGCCTGTAACCCTGGCACTTGGGACGCTGAGGTGGGCAGATCACCTGAGGTCAGGAATTGGAGACCAGCTGGGTCAACATGGTAAAACCCCGTCTCTAGACAGAGCAAGACTCCGCCTCAAAAAGCAAAACAAAATAAAAAGAATATGTTCATTGAGAAACAATTTCCACACCATGAATTCACCTATTTTGAGCAAGAATTCAATGAGTTTTAGTCTATTACAGAGTTATCCCGCCATCGCCACAGTCCCATTTTAGAGCATTCCCATCAAACTAAAATCAAACTTTGTGCCCATTTACAATCAACCTCCATTCCTACTCCCAGCCCTAGGCAACCACTCATCTATTTCCTATCTCTATAGATTTGTCTTTTATAGAAATAAATCATATTTTGTGTGCTTTGTTTTTCCGGTGACTTCTGAATTCAATGTAGACATATTAACCTCACTGAGTCTTTGTTGTTTTTCCTTGCTCGCGTTTCTCTCTATTCCTCATTGATTTATTCTGATCCATTAATAAGAGTTGTGTCTTTCGTTTTGTGCTGACTTCATTTTGCTGCGTTGCGTACCCTGTGCCCTTGCATATTCTTTAGTAACCAGCTCTGTGCTAACTTTCATTTGAATAGCAGGGCCCTGTTGGCTCATAAGGAACTTTTGTGGGACTCATTAAAAAAGGTACTCCTGCTAAAGAAATGCCCTTGTTTGAATTAAAAAATGATCCTGCTGGGTGCAGTGGCTCACACCTGTAATCCCAGCACTTTGGGAGGCTGAGGCAGGCAGATCAGCTGAGCTCAGGAGTTCAAGACCCGCCTAAGCAACATGGCGAAACCCCGTCTCTACTAAAAATACAAAACATAGCCAGGCGTGGTGGCAGGTACCTGTAATCCCCGCTACTCAGGAGGCTGAGGCAGGAAAATCGCTTGATCCTAGGAGGCGGAGGATGCAGTGAGCCAAGATTGCGTCACTACACTCCAGTCTGGGCGATAGAGCGAGACTCCATCTCACAGAAAAAGAGGGTCCTTCCCAGCAGTAGGGGAGGCTGAGGCAGGAGGACTGCTTGAGCTCAGGAGTTCTAGACCGACCTGGCCAACATGGTGACACCCCCATCTCTATAAAAAATACAAAACCTAGCTGGGCGCGGTGGCGCGCACCTGTAGTTCCTACCAATCACAAGGTTAAGTTGGGAGGATACTTTGAGCCCAGGTGGTCGAGGCTGCAGTGAGCTGTGACTCTGCCACTGCACTGCAGCCTGGGTGACAAAATGAGACCCTGTCTCAAACACACAAAACTAAACAAAAGTGATGATCCTGCAAGCAGACAAAGCCTGCTGGAGTTTCGGCTGGCCTTGTGCCTTGCTTTCATCAATAGAATGCAGGGGAGTTCGGCGGCTGCACCTTCTGGGAAGCAAGGAGCACCTCTGCTCGGCAGCTGTGCAACTCTCCAGGTGTGACGTGGCAGCCTTGTGTGTGACCTTTCTGCCCTCCCCAAGTTTGCATTTTCTTTTTTTTTTAATCTTTGAGACAGAGTCTCGCTCTTTCACCCAGGCTGGAGTGCAGTGGCGCAATCTTGGCTCAGTGCAACCTCTGCCTCCCGGATTCAAGCCATTCTTCTGAACTCAGCCTCCCGAGTAGCTGGGATTAAGGCGCCTGCCACCACACCCAGCTGCTAGATTTTTTATATTTTTAGTAGAGACGGGGTTTCACCGTGTTAGCCAGGATGGTCTCGATCTCCTGACCTCGTGATCCACTTGCCTCGGTCTCCCAAAGTGCTGGGATTACAGGCGTGAGGCACTGCACCCGGCCCCAAGTTTGCATTTTCAACAGTAAAGTTTACTTTTAAATTAAAAGATTTAAATTGGGGAAAATAACAAAAAGAATGTAGGGGACTGACATTGTGTCAATTCCACGGCTACACCTTAAGAGACCTTGGTCTCTTGGAACCCTGCCAATAGCCACGGACTCAGTCCAGGCAGCCCTGCTGGAGGATGGGAGACCACAGGAAGTAGAGATAAACTGTGTCAGCTGAGGGCCATCCAAGATCAACCAGCCCCTGCCAATCAGCATCTGACCTCATCCATGAGTGAAACTGGCCAAGACTTGGAGAACTGCCCAGCTGAGCCCAACCCCAGCTGCTGACCTGTGTAATTATAAGATGGCTAAGTGATTGTTATTTTAAGCCACTAAGGATTGGCATGGTTTACTTTGCAGCAAAGCTAACTGATAGAGTAACTTTGTTTGTTTTGAGACAGAGTCTTGCTGTGATGCTCAGGCTGGAGTGAAATGGTGTGATCTCGACTTACTGCAACCTCCGCTTCCTGGGTTCAAGTGATTCTCCTGCCTCAGCCTCTCAAGTAGCTGGGACTACAGGTGTGCGCCACAACGCCCGGCTAATTTTTTTTTTTTTTTTTTTTTTTTTTTTGAGACAGAGTCTTGCTCTTTCTCCCAGGCTGAGAGCAGTGTGATCTCAGCTCACTGCAACCTCCACCTCCCAGGTTCAAGCAATTCTCCTGTCTCAGCCTCCCAAGTAGCTAGGATTACAGGTGCCTGCCACTAGGCCCAGCTAGTTTTTGTATTTTTAGTAGAGACAGGGTTTCACCATGTTGGCCAGGCTGGTCTGGAACTCCTGACCTCAAGTGATCCACCCGTCTTGGCCTCCCAAAGTGCTGGAATTACAGGCGTGAGCCACCGTGGCCGGCCTTAATTTTTCTATTAGACATGGGGTTTCACCATGTTGGCCAGGCTAGTCTCTAACTCCCAACCTCAGGTGATCTGCCCAAGTCGGCCTCCCAAAGTGCTAGGATTACAGGGGTAAGCCACCGTGCCCACATGGCTTTTGATGACTTCTAGCCCACCTATTCTGTTTTCACTTTTTGGTTCAGAATACAACCTCTGGGTATCTGCTGTGTCTAGCAGGGCTGGGTGTTGGGAATACAACAATGAGTAGCTGTGGCCTTGTGATGGATACACTCACGGGCAATCTCAGCTCAGTGTGAGGTCACGCCAGTAAGTGCATGTTAGCAAGACAGGACACAGGACAGGCACCTAACCCAAATTAGGACGTTAGATAAGACTGATGTTTGAAAATGAGATAGAGTTACAGTGTCCAAAAACCCAGAGGAGAGAGCAGGTGGGTCAGGTAAAGACAGGGCAAGAAATTCAGTGTGGCTGGAGCCCAGAGCACCAGAGGGAGAGTGAGGAAGATGAGGCTGGGAAGGGAAGGAGGAGCTCGAACATGAAGAGCTCCGTTTCCCTTTGCAGAGAGTTTAGACACTGGCTGAAGGAGAATATAATCTAATAGGAGATGATATAAAAGCTCACAGGGGCTGCGATGTGGATGGACTGGAAGGGCCAAAACTAGTGACAAGGAGCCCAGTTAGGCAGCTGTTGAGGTCATCCAGACGAGGCGCTGGCAGTTTGAACTACGGTGGCAGCAGTGGGGAGGGAGGAAAGTGAACTGTGCAGGACTAAGGACTTGGTAAATGACCAGCGAGAGGAAAGAGGAGAGGATTGCCTCCAGAGCTGTGGCCTGGCCAGCGGTGATAGACATTGAGATAGGAAAGCTGAACGAGGAGCAAATGGGGAGCGGGATCATCAATTTGTTTTTATTTTTGAGATGGGGTCTCACCCTGTTGCCCAGGTTGGAGTGCAGTGGTGCGATCGCGGCTCACTGCAACCTCCACCTCCCGGGTTCAAGCGATTCTCCTGCCTCAGCCTCTCGAGTATCTGGGACTACGGGCACCTGCCACCATGCCTGGCTAATTTTTAAAAATTATTTTAGTTTATTTTATTTAGACGAGTGAGTCTCGCTCTGTTGGTCAGGCTGGAGTGCAGTGGCACAATCTCGGATCACTGCAACCTCCGCCTCCCGGATTCAGGCAGTTCTCTGCCTCAGCCTCACGATTGGCTGAGATTATAGGCACCTGCCACCACGCCCAGCTAATTTTTTTGTATTTTTAGTAGAGACGGGGTTTCAGCATCTTGGCCAGGCTGGTTTTGAACTCCTGATCTGATCCACCCGCCTCAGCCTCCCAAAGTGCTGGGATTACAGGTGTGAGCCACCACACCCGGCCTTTTTTTTTTTTTTTTTTTTTTTGGAGACAGAGTCTCGCTCTGTTGTCCCAGCTGGAGTGCAGTGGCGTGATCTTGGCTCACTGCAAGCTCCACCTCCTGGGTTCATGCCATTCTCCTGCCTCAGCCTCCAGAGTAGCTGGGACTACAAGCACTCGCCACCTTGCACAGCTAATTTTTTGTATTTTTAGTAGAGATGGGGTTTCACCATATTAGCCAGGATGGTCTCGATCTCCTGACTCGGATCTCCTGACTCGTGAGCCACCCGCCTCGGCCTCCCAAAGTGCTGGGATTACAGGTGTGAGCCACCGTGTCCAGCCTATTTTTATTTTTTAGAGACAGGGTCTCACTGTGTTGCCCAGGCTGGTCTCGAACTCCTGAACTCAAGTGATTCTCCTGCCTCCGCTTGCAAAGTGTTAGGATTACCGGCATGAGCCATCACGCCCAGCAGGGATCATGAATTTGGCTTGGAATATGTTGAGTGTGAGGTGCCTTCACCACTTCCAAATGGAGACGTCCATCCAGCGAGAACTGATAGTTTTGTGTTTTTTTAACAGACGGGGTCTTGAGCCAGGCGCAGTGGCTCACGGCTGTAATCCTAGCACTTTGGAAGGCTGAGGCAGGTGGATTACCTGAGGTCAGGAGTTCAAGACTAGCCTGGCCAATACGGTAAAACCCCGTCTCTACTAAAAATACAAAAATTAGCTGGGTGTGATGGTGGGCGCCTGTAATCCCAGCTACTTGGGAGGCTGAGGCAGGAGAATTTCTTGAACCCAGGAGGCGGAGGTTGCAGTGAGGCAAGATTGTACCACTGTAGTCCAGCCTGGGTGACAGAATAAGACTCTGTCTCGGAAAAAAAAAAAAAGAAAAGAAAAAAAGAAAATACGATCAAGAACCTCACTTTGGCCAGGCGTGGTGGCTCAGGCCTGTAATCCCAGCATGTTTGGAGGCCAAGGCAGGTGGATCCTTTGAGACCAGCCTGGGCTACATAGCAACACCCCATCTCTTAAAAAATAGTAATTTTAAAAAACCTCAAAAATTAGCTGGGGATGGTGGTGTGCGCCTGTAGTCCCAGCTGCCTGGAAGGCTGAGAGGTGGGAGGATCGCTTGAGTCCAGGAGGCGGAGGTTTCTGTGAGCTGAGATCACGCCACTGCACTCCAGCCTGGGCAACAGAGTGAGACCCCATCTCAAACAAACAAAAAACAAAAAAAATCACATTCAGCCGGGAATGGCAGCTCACACAGATAATCCCAGCATTTTGGGAGGTTGAGGCAGGAGGATTACTTGAGCCTAGGAGTTCAAGAGCAGCCATAGCAAAACCCTCATCTCTACCAAAAATTAACAAACTAGCCAGGTGTGGTGGTGCGCAACTGTCGTCCCAGCTATTTTGGAGGCATAGGTGGGCAGATTGCTTGAGTCCCGGAGGTCCAGGCTGCGCTGAGTCCGGGTTGCACTGTTGCATCCCAGCCTGGGCAACAGTGAGTTTTGTCTCTCAAAAGAAACAAACAAAGGGCCGGGCATGGTGGCTCACGCCTGTAATCCCAGCACTTTGGGAGGCTGAGGTGGGCAGATCACAAGGTCAGGAGTTCAAGACCAGCCTGGCCAACATGGTGAAACCCCATCTCTACTAAAAATACAAAAAATTAGCCGGACGTGGTGGCACGCACTGGAATCCCAGCTACTTGGGACGCTGAGGCAGAAGAATCGCTTTAACCTGGGAGGTGGAGGTTGTGGTGAGCTGAGATGGCACCATTGCACTCCAGGCTGGACAACAGAGCAAAACTCCACCTCAAAAAAAAAAAAAAAAAAACAACACTCATCACATTCATTCCTTTTTTCTAAGTATCATAGATTTTTTGCGTGTTTGCTTTTTGAAACGGAGTCTGGTTCTGTCGCCCAGGCTGGAGTGTAGTGGTGTGGTCTTGGTTCACTGCAACCTCTGCCTCCCAGGTTCAAGAGAGTCTCCCACCTCAGCCTCCTGAGTAGCTGAGATTACAGGCATCCCCCACCATGCCCGGCTAATTTTATATTATTTATTTATTTTTGAGACAGTATCGCTCTGTTGCCCAGGCCGGAGTGCAATGGTGCGATCTCAGCTTACTGCAACCTCTGCCTCCCCGGTTGAAGTGATTCTCCTGCCTCAGCTTCCCGAGTAGCTGGGATTAAAGGCACCTGCCACCACACCTGGCTTTTTTTTTTTTTTTTTTGAGATGGAGTCTCACTCTGACGTCCAGGCTGGAGTGCAGTGGCGTGGTCTCGGCTCACTGCAAACTCCGTCTCCCAGGTTCAAGCCACTCTGCCTCGGCCTCCGGAGTAGCTGGGACTCAGGCGTCCGCCACTACACCTGGCTAGTTTTTTGTATTTTTAGTAGAGATGGGGTTTCACCGTGTTAGCCAGGATGGTCTCGATCTCCTGACCTCATAATCCACCCGCCTCGGGCTCCCACAGTTCTGGGATGAGGCGTGAGCCACCGCGCCCGGCCTGCTCTGTTTTTGAGCTTCACTTCTAGATGGCTAAAGGTTCTTTTTTGCCTCTACCTTATCTCCCATTTCACAGTCTTCAGAACATGGGTGGCAACAGCACGCCACTTTCTCCGCCTCTCCCTGTCAAACTTAGCAGGGTTAATGGTTATTTTCACATTTTCTTCTATACCGGCCCCCTCTCATCTTTTCATACCTGTAAGAGGAACAGAATTTAACCTGGAAGTCCAGGTCATAAAATACGACAGCTGGTATGAATACTGTAGACTATATAAAAGAACACGCCATTCAACAGGGTTTTTTTTGGTTTTGGGTTTTGTTTCAGACAGGGTCTTACCCTGTCGCTCAGGCTGGAGTGAAGTGGCACAATCTCACTGCACCGTCAGCCTCTTGGGTTCAAGCAACTCTTCTGCCTCAGCGGCCTAAGTGGCTGGGATTACAGGCGCACACCACCACACCCAGCTAATTTTTTTTTGTATTTTTAGTAGAGACAGTGTTTCACCACGTGGGCCAGGCTGGTTTCAAACTCCTGATCTCAAATGATTCCACCACCTAGGCCTCCCAAGTGCGAGGATTACAGGCATAAGCCACTGTACCTGGCCTGCTTTCAGGCCTTTATATGATTCTTATGGTCCCCTCAAATCAGTATTTTATGACTCATACTCATGGAGACCTTTAAAAATATCACCAGGCCAGAGGCCGGGCGCAGTGGCTCACGCCTGTAATTCCAGCACACTGGGAGGCCGAGGCGGGTGGATCACCTGAGGTCAAGAGTTCAAGACCAGCCTAGCCAACATGGTGAAACACCATCTCTACTAAAAATACAAAAATTAGCAGGGCCTGGTGGCGTGCACCTGTAATCCCAGCTATTCGGGAGGCTGAGGCAGGAGAATCGCTTATACCCGGGAGGCAAGGTTGGAGTAAGCTGAGATCACGCCACTGCCCTCCAGCCTGGGGCACAAGAGGAAAATTTTGTCTTGAAAAAAAAAAAAATCACGAGGCCAGGCGCGGTGGCTCACGCCTGTAATCCCAGTACTTTGGGGGGCCAAAGTGGATCACCTGCGGTCAGGAGGTTTGAGACCAGCCTGGCCAAAATGGTGAAACCCCATCTCTACTAAAAATACAAAAATTAGCCAGGTATGGTGGCACGTGCCTGTAATCCCAGCTACTCGGGAGGCTGAGGCAGGAGAATCGCTTGAACACAGGAGACAGAGGTTACAACGAGCTGAGATAGCGCCACTATACTCCAGCCTGCACAACAAGAGTGAAACTCCGTCCCCGCCCCCCACCCTGCGCCCCGCCAAAAAAAAAAAAAAAAAAAAAGGCCGGATACGGTGGCTCATCCCTGTAATCCTAGCACTTTGGGAGGCTGAGGCAGGCGGATCACCTGAGGTTGGGAGTTCCAGACCAGCCTGACCAACATGGAGAAATCCCGTTTCTACTAAAAATTCAAAATTAGCCGGGCATGGTGGCGCATGCCTGTAATCCCAGCTACTCGGGAGGCTGAGGCAGGAGAATTGCTTGAACCCAGGAGGTGGAGGTTGCAGTGAGCCAAGAACGCAGCACTACACTCCAGCCTGGGCAACAAGAGCGAAACTCCATCTCAACAAAAATAAATAAATAAATAATTAAAAAAAAATCTGTGTCTATATATATCACCATTGATTAATCCCATCTTTTTTTTTTTTTTCCCTGAGATGGAGTCTTGCTCTGTCACCCAGGCTGGAGTGCAGTGGCGTGATCTCGGCTAACTACAATCTCCACTTCACAGGTTCAAGTAATTCATCTGCCTCAGCCTCCCGAGTAGCTGGGACTATAGGTGCACGCCACAACGCCTGGCTAATTTTTGTATTTTATTGATTGATTAATTGAGACAGAGTCTCGCTCTGTTGCCCAGGCTGGAGTACGGTGGTGCCATCTTGGATCACTGCAAGCTCTGCCTCCCGGGTTCAAGCGATTCTCCTGCCTCAGCCTCCCGTGCAGCTGGGACTACAGGCGCGTGCCACCACGCCCGGCTAATTTTTCGTATTTTTAGTGGAGACCGGGTTTCACCATGTTAGCCAGGATGGTCTCGATCTCCTGACTTTGTGATCCACCCACCTCAGCCTCCTAAAGTGCTGGGATTACAGGCGTGAGCCATCATGCCCAGCCAGATTTTAGTATTTTTAGTAGAGACGGAGTTTCACTATGTTGGCCAGGCTGGTCTCGAACTCCTGACCTTCTGATCCGCTCGCCTCTGCCTCCCAAGGTGCTGGGATTACAGGCATGAGCCACCACACCCGGCCTAATCCCATCTTTAATAAGCACCCACTGAGCTTGTATAATTGTTTATCTAATTATATGACTGCAGGCTGCTGAAGGCACATACCTCCTATCCCCTAAGCATAAAGATTTACCTCTCGCTGGGTGCGGTGGTGGCTGAAGCCTGTAATCCCAGCACTTTAGGAGGCGGAGGCAGGCGGATCACCCGAGGTCAGGAATTTGAGACCAGCCTGGCTAACATGGTGAAACCCCATTTCTACTAAAAATACAGTAAATTAGCTGGGCGTGGTGGTGCATGCCTGTAACCCCAGCTACTCGGGAGGCAGAGGTAGGAGAATTGCTTGAACGTGGGAGGCGGAAGTTGCAGTGAGCCGAGATCGCATCACTGCACCCCAGCTTAGGTCACAAGAGCGAAACTCTGTCTCAAAAAAAAAAAAAGATTTAGTTCTTTTGTGAAAAATATTCAAAGATTACTTTTTTGCAAAAGATCACCAAGCCAAACATTTGGCCATATTTTTATTTACTACATATACTATAAACATATACAATACATGCTACCAAAAAAAATTTTTTTTTAAATTTAACTGTCAAGAAAGTGTATAGTGTTATAATACAATGGCACATGTTTATATTTTATTTCAAATTGGTTTGCTTATCACCTATTTCAAACCATTAACAGTGAAATGTTACTTGTGGATAATTAAAAATTATCTATTTGCATTATTAACAATAAACAATTCCAACAAATTAATAAGAATTAACCATGTCAAATATTAGTATTCAAAAAATGGGATTTGCAGAAATGATTATATAAAATATAGCAGCCAATTTCAGTTTACTTTGCCAATAGGATTTCAGCATTTGCTTTTTTTTGGAAGACACTTATAAGACATCCTTTGATTTCTTGAGGGGCATTAACTGCCACACTCAACAGTCAAATCCAGCCCAGTGGTTCATGAACGGCCCTGGATCACTGATCACTGAGGAATCCTTAGGACTTGAGTAGCGCTGCCTGTTCCACTGATATTACATATGATGAAAAGAGACATTACAAGCCAATATCAAAGTCAAAGGAAAAGAAAATAGGAACATTCAAATCAGTTGTGACAAGGTTTTTCTACAAGTATTTTTGATGCCATACTTTCAGGAAAACAAGATTTAATGTGTGTGTGGACTTTACAGTATCTACGTTCTAACTGAAAATTTAACAAAGCAGTCAGATGGAATTACATGTAGTATTACAAATGTGTTCATTCAACACTAATGAGCACCCACTCTGTGCATAGCACTGGGCTACCATTTTACAAGTTGAGTTTAACGTCTTTATCAAGCATGACCTTAGTGTGAGGTAAAATACATTAAATTAGCGTCAACGCGTTAGTCTGCTTGCGGCCATGTACGGAATCCTGGGCCAGCTGGCTTCCCTGTGCCACGTCACCGGTTTCTCAGGTCTCCTCATTCACTCAGACAAATACGTGCACACTGACTGTGTGTCAGACAGTGTGCCGGTCACTCGGACACCACAATCTGGTATAGGTTCAAAGAATGTAAATTTATCATTTTAACCTATGCAGAACAATTAGAAAGGCAGATTATTTTTCCAAAATGAGGTCCAAAGCAAACTATAAGGTGTTTCTATTGGTCATACCACACCAGAGACCGGTAAGTGCCTTTATAGACTGAGAACTAACGTGGAAGTTTCATGCTGTCGTCTAAATAGCCTAGGTCATTTTTGGTCTCATAGGTCTATTTTGTGGAGCACCTGACCCCATATAAATCATTCCATACTTAAATGGGTTTGTAAACTAAACCTGAACATAAACAAAGAGCCAAAAATGAAGGCAGTTTACAATGTAATGTTCTTCAACAGCATTACTCTCCCCATGAGAAATGAATAATACATAAGTAATTCACAATTGGTTCAACATTTTTTTTTCTTTTTTTTTTCCTTTTTTTTTTTTTTGAGACTGAGTCTTGCCCTGTCGCTCAGGCTGGAACGCAGTGGTGCGATCTCGGCTCACTGCAGCCTCCACCTCCCAGGTTGAAGCAATTCTCCTGCCTCAGCCTCCCGAGTAGCTGGGATTACAGGCGTGCACCACCACGCCGGGCTAATTTTTTATATCTTTAGCAGAGATGGGGTTTCACTATGTTGGCCAGGCTGGTCTCGAACTCCTGACCTCATGATCCACCCGCCTCGGCCTCCCAAAGTGCTGGGATTACAGACGTGAGCCACCGCGCCCAGCCGGTTCAACATTTTTTCAAAGCACTAACCCTACCCCAAATTCATGTAATACTAACTTGACTTTTATACAAGTTGCACAGAATGCAGAGGGCAGAATTTGACCCCAAAACCTTCCACAGAATATCAGAGGTGATTGGTCCTTCCACTCTTGAGTAGAACCTAAGAATTCCAAGAGTCTCCTAATAGGATACTGGCCCTCTGGAGAAATGGCCCTGCTGGATCCCATTAGTTAGGACTCTAGTTAGCTGCTGTAGAAGGGTGACCTACTACGACCCTTTTGGGGAAGGCAGAGAGCTGGGAGACTGGCTGTCCACTTAGTGAATCCAACACTGGCTTAAAGCTATGCACTGAATAAAGTGCTCGGTACATCCTGCTTTTCACCTGGAATGAAAATACACACTTATCTTAGGAATTCACCTACTTACAGGTTTGGGGGACAAGAATGTCAAGGGCTAAAAGAATCCCAAGAAAAAGTATGAAGCATTGACTAGGAGGGAACAAATGCTTCTAGTAGTGTTCTTAGAATTCTTAGGATCTGAAATGTCAGAATGAGTCACACGCTGGTCATGCTCCATACAATGAAAGCAATCCTGCTTGATACTATTCACACGGTGCATGATTACTTCACGGGGGTGGAACGGAACAGTCTGTCGCCATTTGATAGTATGGTTCCAGAATGAAAACAAAACCACTGAATAAATCAGGGTAAGCAGTGTGTAACACTCCTTCCTGTCCATCGGTTTTCCACAGGGTGATTTGCACTGCCTGAGAGAAAGGAGGCAAGATACCTATCCCTTCTGATACACACAGGCACGACCACTACCGCCTCCAATTGCCAATTCAGAAGCTAACACACAAGCCCTCCAGTTCGTACCCTGAATATGGTAATTAAGACTAGGAATGGAGCAGTTCAGTCTAAAAAATATCACAGGTAACAGAATGCTTATATAAACTAGACTGCTTTTGACATCTGTAAGAAAATTGTATAGATGGCAGTTGGAAAAAAAAAAAAAAGATTGTTCCCATCTGTCAGCAAAACTGTTGAACTATACTCAGCTGAAGTCCTCATCGGGATTCTGTTGATCCAGCAGACGGACATGTGTGAATGGGAAGTGACCTCGTTTGCCATTACACTCCCCTTCCCACTGACCACTCACATTAATCTTCGTAACCTTTACCAGCTCACCGACCTGCAGGAGGAGAATAAGGAGAGCACTTTATTTCCAGGTAGGAATGCAAGCTGAACAACTCCATTCTCTGGTTAGGCACACCCTGCCCATGTGACTGCTCTAGGGATATTACAGAAATGGCCATTTGCTGCCTCCCCAGCCCCAGCCACCAGACTGATTACTTGTGGTTAATGCAGGCAGAAGGAAAAGTGTTTTTAGCAGTGTGGAAAAACAGAGAATACAGAAAGTAAAAGGGATTCCAGATAATGATACTTTTTGATTAAAAAAGGAAAGTGATAATTATTGGAAATCTCAGCTGTCTCTGCATGAGCAATCCCAACTTCAGTGAGTTAGCTACTATTCCCTTTCTTTGTACTCACTACCCTCAGCTTTCTGCCTGCTCCGCAGGCCCTGTCCGAGGAGAAGCAGCTTTCTCCGTTTTTTTTTTTTTTTTTTTTTGAGACGGAGTCTCTGTCACCCAGGCTGGATGACAGTGGCGTGATCTCAGCTCACTGCAAGCTCTGCCTCCCAGGTTCGAGCAATTTTCCTGCCACAGCCTCCCGAGTAGCTGGGACTACAGGCGCCTGCCACCGTGCCCAGCTAATTTTTGTATTTTTAGTAGAGATGGAGTTTCACCATCTTGGCCAGGCTGGTCTCGAACTCCTGACCTTGTGATCCACCTGCCTTGGCCTCCCAAAGTGCTTGGATTACAGGCGTGAGCCACTGTGCCTGGCCGCCTTCTCCCCGCTTTAGCATATGGCAGCAGCACAATCCCCCAGCCCACTCGCACAAGACCTGGCCTGTTACTGCTTGCACAGCAGAAAGCGATCATGGCAAGCATAGGTCACTTGGTCCTAGAGAATCAAGTGTTCCTATCACCTCCTGACCCAGGCAAGCCTTTTCCCATATGGGCAGGTAGAGGCCAAAACTCCAGGTCCAATTAGCTCCCAGAAAACCCCCACCTCATTCAGTAAGCTCTACTTCACAAGCCACTGCCTGCCCAGCCCCCAAATCCCACCATCGGACAGACCTTGCTGCTCCCTCAAAGCCGCTTGTTACCTGATCATTACCCAATGAGGGGTCAAAAAAACCAACCATGGCCGGGCGCAGTGGCTGACGCCTGCAATCCCAGCACTTGGTGAGCCTGACACAGGTGGATGGATTGCTTCAGCTCAGGAGTTTTTGAGACCAGCCTGAGCAACATGGTGAAACCGTCTCTACAAAAAATACAAAAATTAGCTGGGTGTGGTGGTGGCTGCTCATAGAACCAGCTACTCGGGAGGCTGAGGTGGGTGGACTGCTTGAGCCCAGGAGGCAGAGGTTGCAGTGAGCCGAGATCACATCACTGCACTCCAGCCTGGGCAACAGAGCCAGATCCTGCCTCTAAAAACAAAAAAAAACCTTATGTTTTGGCATTTATTTATAAAATGTCTCTTGTTGCAAAATGAAATATAAAGGTTTTTTTTGTTTGTTTTTTTAAGACAGAGTCTCGATCTGTTGCCCAGGCTGGAGTGCAGTGGCGCTATCTCAGCTCACTGCAAGCTCTGCCTCCCGGGTTCACGCCATTCTCCTGCCTCAGCCTCCCTAGTAGCTGGGACTACAGCCGCCCGCCACCACGCCCAGCTAATTTTTTGTATTTTGTTTAGTAGAGATGGGGTTTCACCATGTTAGCCAAGATGGTCTCGATCTCCTGACCTCGTGATCCGCCCGCCTCGGCCTCCCAAAGTGCTATGATTACAGGTGTGAGCCACCACGCCTGGCCATCTTTTTATCTTTTGTTTTTGAGACAGGGTCTCACTCTGTCACTCAGGCTGGAGAGCACTGACACCATCATGGCTCACTGCAGCCTGTAACTCTTGGGCTCATGGGATCCTCCAACCTTAGCCTCCCGAGTAGCTGAGACTACAGGTGCACGCCACCATGCCCAGCTAATTACAGGCATGAGCCTCCACACCATTTATGCATTTCATACAGTATCAGGAACTTTCAAATTATGCATCTGGGCTTGTACTGGGTTCCCTAAAAATGTACGCAGGCACATCTACTGGCCAAAGCCAACGTAAGTCCAGCCGCAGGGCCTCTTCCAGGCCCAGCCTGACCTCACTTACAGATGGAACAGCTTGCCTATTGGCCCCTCTGTTGTTTCCTGAAGAACTCTCTAAAAATTACAGAGGCCTGAAGTCACTGTATGGGTCATAGGATGCTGAGAAAAGGAGGGACAGAAAGAAGGGGATAGAGAGACACATAAGACACAGAGGTTGAGAAAAAAATAGCAGCAGGCTTGGTGCAGTGGCTCATGCCTGTAATCCCAGCACTTTGGGAAACTGAGGTGGGGGGATGGCTTGAGCCCATGATTTTGAGAGCAGCCCTGGCAAAAGAGTGAGATCTTGTCTCTACAAAAAAATTTAAAAAGCCAAGTGTGGCCAAGCGTGGCCAAGCGTGCTGGTGTGCGCCTGTGGTCCCAGTTACTTGGGAGGCTGAGGTAGGAGGTCACCTGAGCCTCCTGGGAGGTCAAGGCTGCCCCCTAGCCTGGGCAACAAGACCCTGTCTGCAAAAAAAGAGAAAACCAAGCAGCTAACCCAGCCTGTGTCGTGACAATGCCGGCTGAGCACACGTGTGGAGGAAGGAGAGGAAGGGATGATGGCCCAGCCTGTGTCGTGACGATGCCAGCTGAGCACAAGTGTGGAGGAAGGGGAGGAAGGGATGATGGCATGCCTATCCTTACACACAGGTAACAATCCTCACAGGTTGCTGTCACCAGGACTCTCACCACACCTGGCCTGCCAGCAATTTTAGAATTCAACGTTTCTCACATCTGGGCAGGGTGCTGTGGGGCTCACGTCTTTAATCCCAGCACTTTGGGAGGCGAGGTAGGAGGATCACTTGAGCTCAGGAGTTCAAGACCAGCCTGGGCACCATAGTGAAACCTCATTTCTACAAAAAATAAAAAAATTGGCTGGGCGTGGTGGCGCACGCCTATAATCTCAGCACTTTGGGAGGTCGAGGTGAGTGAATCACGACGTCAGGAGTTCAAGACCAGCCTGGCCAAATTGGTGAAACCCCGTCTCTACTAAAATACAAAAATTAGCCAGGTGTGGTGGCAGGCGCCTGTAATCCCAGCTACTTGCGAGGCTGAGGCAGTGAACTGCTTGAACCTGGGAAGAGGAGGTTGCAGTGAGCCGAGACTGTGCCACTGCACTCCAGCCTGGCCAACAGAGTTACACTGTCTCAAAAAATAAAATAAATAAATAAATTAGCCAGGCATAGTAGTGTGCGCCTGTGGTCCCAGCTACTCAAGAGGCTGACATGGGAGGATCACTTGAGCCCGGGAGGCAGAGATTGCAGTGAGCCAAGATAGTACCAGTGCACTCCAGCCTGGGCGACAGAGCAAAACTGTCTCCAAAAAAAAAAAAAAAAAAAAAAAAAAAAAAAAAAAAAAAAAAGATTCTGACATGCCCCAGCCAGGCTAGGCAACAATAGCAAGACTGTGTCTCTTGAAAAAAAAAAAAAAATTAGTAAGGTATCATCGTATGCACCTGTAGTTCCAGTTACTCAGGAGGCTGAGGCAGGAGGATCACTTGAGCCTGGGAGTTTGAGCTGTAGCAAGCCAAGTGCACCACTGCACCCCACCCTGGTGGAGAGACCAAGATTCTGTCTCCAAAAAAAAAAAAAAAAGAATCTTGGCCGGGCGCGGTGGCTCACGCCTGTAATCCCAGCACTTTGGGAGGCTGAGGGCGGCAGATCATGAGGTCAGGAGATCCAGACCATCCTGGCTAACACGGTGAAACCCCGTCTCTACTAAAAATACAAAAAATTAGCCAGGCGTGCTGGCGGGCGCCTGTAGTCCCACCTACTCGGGAGGCTGAGGCAGGAGAATGGTGTGAACCCAGGAGGCGGAGCTTGCAGTGAGCCGAGATCACGCCACTGCACTCCAGCCTGGGTAACAGAGCGAGACTCAGTCTCAAATAAATAAATAAATACCTCAATGTTATATTGTCTTTATTCTTTTTGTTTGTTTGAGAGAGAGTCTCACTCTGTCACCCAGGCTGGAGTGCAGTGACGCTATCTTGGCTCACTGCAACCTCCACCTGCCAGGTTCAAACAATTCTCCTGCCTCAGGCTCTCAAGTAGCTGGGACGACAAGCACAAGCCACCATGCCCAGCCAGTACTTTTTTCGTATTTTTAGTAGAGACGGGGTCTCACCATGCTGGGCAGGCTTGTCTCGAACTCCTGACCTCATGACCCGCCCACCTCGGCTTCCCAAAGTGCTGGAATTACAGGCATCAGCCACCGCGCCCAGCCTATATTGTCTTTATTCTTAAGCATTCATACTGCAGTCTCAAATCACATCCCACAAAGCTCTAAGAGGTGAAGGGTAGGTTGAAAAGTGGACCAGCCCCACCCCTTGCTGTTAACACAGAACCATACCAATTTCTCAAAATGTGGGGCAAAACCTGCTAATGTGCCTCCAGATCTTTTCTTTCAGACTTTTTTTTTTTTTTTTTTAATGGAGTTTTTGCTCTTGTCACCCAGGCTGGAGTGCAGTGGTACGATGCTGGCTCACTGCAACCTCCGCCTCCAGGATTCAAATGATTCTCCTGCCTCAGCCTCCAGAGTAGCTGGGACTACAGGCGCCCGCCACCACGCCCAGCTGATTTTTGTATTTTTAGTAGAGATGGGGTTTCACCATGGTGGGCAGGATGGTCTCGATCTCCTGACTTCATGATCTGCCTACCTCGGCCTCCCAATGTGCTGGGATTACAGGTGTGAGCCACCGTGCCAGCCCTTCTTTCAGACTTCTAAGGGATAAATGAGTAGGGATTTCTATGAGGCAAGATGTTATTGGGGAAAGGAACTATGTGTAAATTAGACCTTTGGACCATATCAGATCTTTTTTTTTTTTTTTTTTTTGAGACAGCGTCTCACTCTGTTGCCCTGGCTAGAGTACAGTGGCATGATCTCAGCTCACTGCAACCTCTGCCTCCCAGGTTCAAGTGATTCTCCTGCCTCAGCCTCCTGAGTAGCTGGGACTACAGGCATGTGCCACCACGCCCTGCTAATTTTTGTATTTATAGTAGAGATGGGGTTTCACCATATTGGCCAGGCTGGTCTTGAACTCCTGACCTCGTGATCTGCTCACCTCAGCCTCCCAAAGTGCTGGGATTACAGGCGTGAGCCACCACGCCCGGCTCAGAACTATCTTTAATGTACAGATTCTCTCTCTTTTTTTTTTAGATGGAGCCTCACTCTTGTCACCCAGGCTGGAGTCCAGTGGCGCAATCTCAGCTCACTGCAACCTCCGCCTCCTGGGTTCAAGCGATTCTCCTGCCTCAGCCTCCTGAGTAGCTGGGATTACTGGCGCACGCCACCACGTCCGGCTAATTTTTTCGCATTTTTAGTAGAGATGGGGTTTCACCATGTTGGCCAGGCTGGTCTCCAACTCCTGACCTCAGGTGATCCGCCCACCTTGGCCTCCCAAAGTGCTGGGATTACAGGTGTGAGCCACCGTGCCCAGCCAGATTCTCTTGGATCTACCCTGCAGAGGAAAACCATGCCAAAATCTAAAACTTT
The DNA here is from genome assembly GCF_000001405.40 of Homo sapiens. NCBI lineage: Eukaryota > Metazoa > Chordata > Mammalia > Primates > Hominidae > Homo > Homo sapiens. Next base: position 371,228 of record NT_187613.1, read on the forward strand.
TTTTTTTACACCGGGTACGCTGGCCTGCACCTGTAGTCCCAGCTACTTGGGAGACTGAGGGGAGAGGAACCCTTGAGTCCAGGGTTTTTTTTTCTTTTTGAGACACTGTATTGATCTCTCACCCAGGCTGGAGTGCAGTGGCACAATCTTGTCTCATTGCAAACTCCGCCTCCTGGAGTCTTGTGCCTTAGGCTCCCAAGGACCTGGGATTATAGGCGCCCGCCACCATGCTCAGTTAATTTTTGTATTTTTAGTGGAGACCAGGTTTCACCACATTGGACAGTCTGGTATGCAACTCCTGACTTCAAGTGATTTGCCCAACTCGGCCTCCCAAAGTGCTGGGATTATAGGCATGGGCCACCTTGCCCAGCTGAGCCCAGGAGTTTGAGGCCTTCCTCAGCAGCACAGTGAAACTCTGTCTCTCTTAAAAAAAAAAAAAAGAGGCCAGACGCAGTGGCTCACACCTATAATCCCAGTGCTTTGTGAGGCCCGAGCAGGAGGAAGATTGCCTGAAGCCAGGAGTTCAAGATCAGTCTAGGTTACAAAGCAAGACTCCATTTCTACAAAATTAAAAGTACAACATTAGCCAGGTACAGTGGAATGTGCCTGTAGTCCCAGCTACTTGGGAGGCTGAGGTAGGGGGATCACAAGCCCAGGAGTTTGGGGCTGCAGTGAGCTACAACTGGGCACCCTTGCTTGGGGAACAGAGCAAAGCCTGATCTCAAAAAAAAAAAAGAGAAAAACAACCAAAAACACGAATCTTTTCTTTACAGATGATTAGGTTTTTGGCAGACAGGTTCAAATATACGGAGATGAGATAATGGCTATGCCATAACTCAAATGATTTTTTTTTTTTTTTAAAGACAGAGTTTCGCTTTTGTTGCCCAGGCTGGAGTGCAGTGGCACAATCTCAGCTCACTGCAACCTCCACCTCCCGGGTTCAAGTGATTCTCCTGCCTCAGCCTCCCACGTAGTTGGGATTACAGGCGTGTGCCCCCACGCCTGGCTAATTTTGTCTTTTTCATAGAAATGGAGTTTCAAAATGTTAGTCAGGCTGGTCTCGAATTCCTGACCTCAGGTGAAGAGTTCACCCACCTCGACCTCCCAAAGTGCTGGGATTACAGGCGTGAACCACTGTACCTGGGCTCATTCTGATTATTAGTATTATTTTTTGAGACAGAGTCTCGCTCTGTCGCCCAGGCTGGAGTGCAGTGGCGCGATCTTGGCTCACTGCAAGCTCCGCCTCCCGGGTTCACGCCATTCTCCTGCCTCAGCCTCCCGAGTACCTGGGACTACAGATGCCCGCCACCACGTCCGGCTAATTTTTTGTATTTTTTTTTTTTTTAGTAGAGATGGGATTTCACAGTATTAGCCAGGATGGTCTCCATTTCCTGACCTCGTGATCCGCCCGCCTTGGCCTCCCAAAGTGCTGGGATTACAGGCGTGAGCCACCACACCCAGCCTGATTCTGATTTTTAAACGGATAAAGAAAATTTGTAAGCAATCAATTGGGCTAATTAACCTGACCAACGTGGCTTTGAAGTAAAAATACCTCAAGGAAGACCTTGTTAAAATTAACCCTATGGCCGGGCGCTGTGGCTCATGCCTGTAATCCCAGCACTTTGGGAGGCCGAGGTGGGTGGATCACGAGGTCAGCAGATCGAGACCATCCTGGCTAACACGGTGAAACCCCGTCTCTACTAAAAATACAAAAAAATTAACCGGGCGTGGTAGCAGGCGCCTGTAGTCCCAGCTGCTAGGGAGGCTGAGGCAGGAGAATAGCGTGAACCCTGGAGGCGGAGCTCGCAGTGAGCCGAGATCACGCACTGCACTCCAGCCTGGGCGACAGAGTGAGACTCCGTCTCAAAACAAACAAACAAACAAACAAACAAATTAACCCTTTGTGCTTTTTGGGGCCTTTCTCCTGAAACGTTTAGAGCACATGAAAATGCTCCTGAGGTCCCAAAGGCACTATGATGATATTTAGAGACCAGGTCTTCCTGTGGTGCCACATGTGGCCTTAGGTCTTTAACAGTCTGGAGGAAGGAGTGGCTGCTGACTCTGGCTGGAGGAGGGCAGAGGAAGAAGGCCGGAGGGGGTGGGGCATTCTAAGAACATTTTGCTCCAGTAAATGCAGTTCTTCCTCCAATTCAGAAACAAAGTCAGAACTGTGCTTCCACCTGTTAATTCACTAAAGCATAATTCCCAAAGATCAGATCAGGGAAGGTGAGGGGTATCATACCGGGGCGGTGGCTCACGCCTGTAATCTCAGCACTTTGGGAGGCAGAGGGGAGTGGGTCACGAGGTCAGGAGATCGAGACCATCCTGGCTAACACAGTGAAACCCCATCTCTACTAAAAATACAAAAGAAAAAAAAAAGAAACTTGGTGTACTAGTTTTTTTTGAGGCAGAGTCTCACTCTGTCGCCTAGCCTGGACTGCAGTAGCGCAATCATAGCTCACTCCAGCCTTGACCTCCCAGGCTGAAGCCATCCTCCCATCTCAGTCACTAGAGTATCTGGGACTACAGGCATGTGCACCACACTTGGCTAATTCTTGTAATGATGGGTTTCACCATGTTGACCAGACTAGGGTGTACTACTTCAAATACAAAGGTGAAACCGAGTGCTTGCCCCAGAACTGTTACAATCTGACAATACAAAGGAATGTACTAATCAGTGAATGTAGTAATAACAGTAGTTCTAACACTACTGATTTCAAAATTCAAGTTATAAATAGGAAAGAAAAATCCTAATATGAATTACCAATGAACAACAAAGACTTCATACAGGACTTGAAGTACTACAAGGTAGTTAACCTTTCTTTCCAAGAGGGAGACCTCACTACAGCAAAGAGACTGATGAGTCTCACCACAGAGGAACTGTTTTACTGTCCAGGCTGGTCCTCAGCCTCCTCATCCTGTAACACATTCTTAGGAGCTTCTTACAGCTCTGTGGGATGGGATTTGAGACTGCACTCTGAATGTTTAAGAATAAAGACAACATAGGCCAGGCGGGGTGGCTCATGCCTATAATCCCAGCACTTTGGGAGGCTGAGGCAGGCGGATCGCTTGAGGCCAGGAGTTTGAGACTAGCCTGGCCAATGTGGCGAAATCCCATCTCTACTAAAAATAAAAAAATTAGCCAGGCGTGGTGGTGGATGCCTGTAATCCCAGCTACCCGGGAGGTTGAGGCACGAGAATCACTTGAACCCAGGAGGCAGAGTGAGATCACGCCACTGTACTCCAGCCTGGGTGACAGAGTGAGACCTTGTCTTAAAAAAAAAAAAAAAAAAAGGCCAGGCGCGGTGGCTCACGCCTGTAATCCCAGCACTTTGGGAGGCGAAGGCAGGTGGATCACGAGGTCAGGAGGTCGAGACCATCCTGGCTAACACGGTGAAACCTCATCTCTACTAAAAATATAAAAAATTAGCCAGGCGTGGTGGCGGGCGCCTGTAGTCCCAGCTACTTGGGGGGCTGAGGCAGGAGAATGGCATGAGCCCAGGAGGCGGAGCTTGCAGTGCGCCGAGATCACGCCACTGCACTCCAGCCTGGGCAACAAAGCGAGACTCCGTCTCAAAAAAAAAAAAAAAAGAAAAGAAGAACAAAGACAATATAAGATTGAGGTATTTAAACAGAGTTTGCTATCAAGTAGAATGGTGGACTTAAGACTATATCCTAAAGAACCACAATCCACAAAACACCTAGAAAAGTTGACTAAAATATAACAAGCATCCTTTCATCTTCACTTTTTTAGGAAGCAAGTCCCGGCTGTATCATGGAGTCATTCATAAAGAAGACTGAATGTGGTTACTACAGTTTCTTTGCTCCCAAGGAACGTAACAAACACTGGCTATTCCCTAGCTCTGTGTCGTTTTCAAGGCTAATCGATCCTGGTGCAATCAGATCTAGAATTGGTACAGGAACAAAAGATTACCCAGCTGATCAATGCGTTCCAGAGATAATGAGAACAAAATCAGAACCCAAATGGTATCAATGTTTGGAATTCACTACACAGGGGACATCACAGAACTGGTTTTCTTTGCTGGCGCAAACCCAGGTGACTGCTTTTCTAGGTCCCTACTACCAACCAGCAGCACATCACTGACTGCTAACATGCCTTGATCCAGACTTGCTTTCAGTGAGCTCAGGGCAGGAAGCACACACAAATTCATACACACAAAACCAGGGAAGAGCAAGTACAGAGAGGCAGCACAGGAGCCTTCTCTTCCAACCTCCTAGGCTCAAGCAGTTTTCCTACCTCAGCCTCCCAAGCAGCTGAGACCACAGGTGCACACCACCACGCCTGGCTTTTTTTTTTTTTTTTTTTTTTTTTTGAGATGGAGTTTCACTCTTGTTGCCCAGGCTGAAGTGCTATGGCACGATCTCAGCTCACTGAAATCTCTGCCTCCCGGGTTCAAGTGATTCTCCTGTCTTAGCCTCCCGAGTAGCTGGAATTACAGGCGCCCACCACCACGCCTGGCTAATTTTTGTATTTTTAGTACAGACAGGGTTTCATCATATCGGTCAGGCTGGTCTCAAACTCCTGATCTCAGGTGATCTGCCTGCCTCAGCCTTCCAAAGTGCTGAGATTACAGGCGTGAGCCACCGCACCCAGCATGTATGGTTTTTTTTTTTTTTTTTTTTTTAGATCACCTGGCTAATTTTTAAAAACATTTTTTGTAGAGACCGGATCTCACCATGTTGCCCAGGCTGGTTTCAAACACCTGGACTCAAGCGATCCTCCCACCTCAGCCTCCGAAAGTGCTGGGATTACAGGCGTAAGTCACAGCACCTGGCCAAACATCAGCCTGTTGTTTTTGCAGCTTTATTGGAACACAGCAAGCTCATCTGTTGTTTTATCTATGATTTCCTTCTTGCTACAATGGCAGAGTTGGGACACAGAATTTAAGGCCCTCAAAAACCTTTACAGAAAAGGTTTGCAGACCCCTGATCTAAGTAACAGGTAGTGTATCTAGGGCCCATCGACAGTCTTTCAAATTGATGGAAACAAATGAGGACAATTCAGCCTTAACAATTCACCTGCATCAGAGATGGACTGAAACTGGCATGGGTAGTATTGGTGGAAAGCTGCCAGTGTTTGAGATTTAACAGTCCACATGAACAGAAAAAACATCCCACAGAATCCTGGGAGATAGGCCTTACCCTGGTTCTGGTGTGAGTCACAAAGATCTCTAGCTCAACTGATAATGCCTGAAGCTAAGCTCCCCATACCCTTGATGAGCGGTGACCACACATAGTACATATGTTTTAGCTCAACATAAAGACATTTCTAGAAATTGGCCAGGCACGACAGCTCACACCTGTAATCCCAGCACTTTGGGAGGCTGAGGCGGGTGGATCACCTGAGGTCAGGAGTTTGAGACCAGCCTGGCCAACAAGGTGAAACCCTGTCTCTACTAAAAATACAAAAATTAGCCAGGCACAATGGGGTATGCCTGTAATCCCAACTACTCAGGAGACTGAGGCAGGGGAATCACTTGAACCTGGGAGGCGGAGGTTGCAGTGAGCCGAGATCGTGCCATTGCACCCCAGCCTGGGCGATGGAGTGAGATTTCGTCTCAAAAAGAACCAAAAAAAAAAAAAAAAATCCAAAAAAACCCAATACCCAAATCAAAAAGGAAAACTTACTAAAATCATAAAACTAGTTTTCTACTCAAATCTTTATTTAATGAGATTTGTGTTTCACAGCAGGTAGAGAAGCTCAACCATTTTTTTGAGCAGTAAAGCCTCTAATTAAGGCAGGCATGATTAAATCTCTGAGAAAGGAAATGCAAATAGAAGCAAAATTCACATGATAACTGGTTTCTCCTGGGTCAGCTGGCTTGTTCCATGGCTTTTTTTCTTTTTCTTTTTTTGAGACAGAGTCTCACCCTGTCGCCCAGGCTGGAGTGCAGTGTCATGATCTCAGCTCACTTCAGCCATGACCTTTCAGGCTCAGGTGATCCTCCCTCCTCAGCCTCCCAAGTAGCTGGGACCACAGGCACGTGCCACCATGCCCAGCTAATTTTTTGTAGAGATGGTGTTTTGCCATGTTGCCTAGGCCGGTCTCCAACTCCTGAGCTCAAGTGATCTGCCCACCTCGGCCTCCCAAGGTGCTGGGATTACAGGTATGAGCCACACGCCCAGCCTTTGTTCCATGTTTTCATACTTACTTCAACCCAGTGCTAATAAAGTCTGTAATAAATGTCAAGAGTTACATCTAGTGACTCAGTAAGGCCAGATAAAAATAAAAAAAAGCAGAGAGGAAAAAAAAAAAAGAAAATAAAAAGGAGTAAGATCCATCATACACACAGCACCATGCCAGATGTTACCGTCATCTGAACTCACAGGAAGACCTGAGGGTAGAAATCTATTTTCCTCCAAACAGGGAATGGGAACAAGAGGCAGTGATAACTCTGACAACATACATTCCATTTCTCATTCAAGCCAGGACTGCAGGTGCATGCCACCACGCCTGGTGATTTTTTTTTTTCACTTTTTGTTAAAAAAAGCTGAGGTCTATGTTTCCCAGACTGGTCTTGAACACCTGGTCTCAAGTGGTCTTCCTGCCTTAGCCTCCCAGAGCACTAGGATTACAAGTGTGAGCCACTGTGCCCAGTCTGTACTAGCTTTTACACTGAACCATCAATTCTTCTGAAAAGAAAGGAAGGGAGAGAGGGAGGAAGGAAGAAGAAAGGAAGGAGGTAGGAGAGCAAGGTGTGAGCGTGGAAGAGAGGAATAAAGGAATTAACACCATGTAATGGCTGGCCAGAAGGAAGTGGGCTGCCAAAGATATTTCATCAGTAAAGGCAAAAATTAATTCCTGAGGAAGAACTGGCTTTTTGAATGATTTAGAAAGACCCGTGCACCTGCCACTCCTCGGAATGAGGACTTCTGGGTGTGCATCTCTTCAAACCTCTACTAGGCCTATTTCCTCCCGGATTCTACTCAATGAACATTAGTGGTAAGGAACTTCAAGTCCCCTGAAGCAAAAACAAGTTTTTGCGGGAAAATTCCATTTAAGTGCTTTGATAGAGACCACTTATTACACTCAAATCCATCTGAACCCACCTTCTTTTAGACAACGACAAACAGAAAGCAAGAAACAGATGAGGATGTAGATGAGGAAAAACATTTGAGGTTAATTCCTGTGAATTCAGGTGGTGTTATTAAAGTAGTCCAAGTGTGTTTAGTAGATCAATTAAGAACATTCAGTTATACAGTTTTAAGCTTACTCATTCCCAAACAGGTTTTCTATGAAGAAGAGAAAACCCAACATTCAATGCCAACATCAGTGCTTAGCGGCTTGCCATCTACAACATCCCAATGCTGTAGTCAGCATTGCTACAAAGCTCTAAGAGGACCGAGAGGAGACCCTGCAGCAGATCTCTTCTTTCTACATTGTGCACGTTATGTACCTCCAAAGCCAAGGCTGTCTTGTCGTAGGCATTGGGGACTCGCTTCTGGATAACCCTGGCATATATGGGCCCATTCTGGAGGTTAGGGAGCGGAGTGTTGACGCTGGGTTGGGCATAGGGCCCAGGCTCCGGCCCACCCAGTGGCTGTGGGTGGGAACCCTCCTGGTTACCTCCAATCAGAGCCGATACTGAGGCGGAGGCAGGTCTATACTTCTCGACGTAAGGGACTGGAATCATCCCTCTCTTGCCTTCGCTGTCCTCCGCATTCCACCACTGCTCTTCAGGCTTGTCCCGGATTCTCAAGATGTCTCCTTTCTTAAAGGGAAGATCTTCCTCATCATTCCCATTAAAGTCAAAGAGGGCTCGCACATACTCCGCCTCCTCCTGCCTGAGAATCACTCCACTACCCTGCCTGGATCTGGAAACTGGTTCTATCAACGTTGTAGTGTCCAAATAGTGTATTTTGTAGAATTCCAGTAAAGCAGGCAATGAATCAAACTCTTGATCTCCTATTCGGAGTCTGGAGGGGCTCACCCCTGGAAAAAACAGAGCAGGCTGTTATTTAATGATGTACTACACTGGAAATGAAATGCAGATTTTATTTTTATTTTTTTTAGAGTTGGGATCTCACTATGTTACCCAGGCTGGTCTTGACCTCCGGGGCTCAAGTGATCCTCTCACCACAAACTCCTGAGTAGCTGGGACTACAGGAGCCCACCACTGTGCCTGGCCGAAATGGAGCTTTCATGCATGCCTCATACACATTTAGTCAAGATTTAATCAGCAAAAAAAACTCTAGAAAAAATAACCCCTTCTCTTCACAGCACACCAACATCACATTTGGAAGCTGAAACATCCCCTGGGAAGAAAGATGCCCATCACTACAGCCCCAGGGAAGGATGAGGAGGCCAGGAGACTAGGCTGATCAGGACGTGCTCTCATACTTGATCAACGACGGGGGCTTTCACTGCATTCTCCAAATATGTTCTGTCGCTACCCCATTTACAGAGCAGTGTAAGCCTCAAGGTTCTGTTGCATGTTTTTTTTTTTTTGAGACCAAATCTCACTGTGTCGCCCAGGCTGGAGTGTAGTGGCGTGATCTCTGCTCACTGCAACCTCTGCCTCCCGGGTTCAAGCGATTCTCCCGTCTCAGCCTCCTGAGTAGCTAGGATTACAGGCTCCCACCACCATGACAAGCTAATTTTTTTTTTTTTTTTTGTATTTTTAGTAGAGACGGGGTTTCACCATGTTGGCCAGGCTGGTCTCAAACTCCTGATCTCAGGTGATCCACCCACCTCAGCCTCCCAAAGTGCTGGGATTACAGGTGTGAGCTACTGCGCCTGGCCTGCATCTACTTTTCAACCTCAGGAAATGTAGCAAGCTCTTGTTTTTCATGGGTCCCTGCTGCTGTTCAGAAGGTGGAGAGAGCTTGTGTCTGCACTGAGCTCACACATTTTTTCTCTTCACATCTAGAATGTATAATTCCGAAGAAGAAAAACTATCTCTTGTTGTGGTTTTCGTTGTTTTTGGGACAGAGTCTCGCTGTGTCGCTCAAGCTGGAGTGCAGTGGCACAATCACAGCTTACTGCAGCCTTGACCTCCCAGGCTCAAGTAATCCTCCCACTTCAGCCTCCTGAGCAGCTGGGACTACAGGCACGCTCAACCATATCTGGGTAATTTTTAAATATTTTGTAGAGATGGGGTTTCACTATGTTGCCCAGGCTAGTCTCAAACACCTGGGCTCAAGCAATCCTTCGGCCTCAACCTTCCAAAGTGTTGGGATTACAGGGATGAGCCACAGTGCCTGGCCTCTGGTATCTTTTTAAATCTAAGATAGGTGATCTCAATTTTATCTTTGACAGCTAAAAGGTAAAAGAACCAAGAAGCTGAACTGAAAAACTAAGGGGCTAACTGCTTAAAAATCAATTCCCGAGATCGTAAATAAAACAGAAACTAGACTGTTCGCTATGAAGCAAACAGGTCATTAAAAAAAAAATGCTTGGGGAAATAAAGGGTTAAAACACTCAACATCTGATAACACACTGAGGATCCAGAGAAAGAACATATTACAAACGCTTAAAATTCCTAAGACACGAGTGTGTATGGTGGCCCTACATACCATAGTTCAGAATGGATTTATTCTATGCTGAGATTCTAAAACTCAAGGAAAATAAATGAACACAGTCAAACAAAACGAGTAAATTCAAACAAGAGTCAAAGTTTCTTTAAAAAAAAAAAAATGAGTCAGGGTTTTGCTGTGTCACGCAGGCTGGAGTGCAGTGGCATGATCATAGCTAACTGCAGCCTCAGCCTCAAGCAAGCCTCCCACCCAGCCTCACGAATAGCTTCAAATACAGGCACACGCCACCACGCCCGGCTAATTTTTGTATTTTTTGTAGAGATGGGGTTTCACCACGTTGCCCAGACTGGTGAACTCCCGGGATTGTTAGGATTTCGGCTTCCCCAAGTTTTGGGATCATAGGTGTGGGACACCACGACGGAGTCTCGCTCTGTCCCCCAGGCTGGCGTGCAGTGGCACAATCTCGACTCAGTGCAAGCTTCGCCTCCCGGGTTCACGTCATTCTCCTGCCTCAGCCTCCCGAGTAGCTGGGACTACAGGCACCCGCCACCATGCCTGGCTAATTTTTTTTGTATTTTTAATAGAGACGGGGTTTTACCGTGTTAGCCAGGATGGTCTCGATCTCCTGACCTAGTGATCCACCCGCCTCGGCCTCCCAAAGTGCTGGGATTGATTACAGGTGTGGGCCACTGCACCCGGCCACAAAGTTTCTAATTAGGAATGCAAACCTTTAACTCCCACTCGGCTAAGCACCCAAAACAGCAAACTATTTTCATTGGATTTTTCACATTATGGTTTCCTGAAGAAGTAATAAACAACTCTCTAATAATAACAACTAGTAAACATTCTCCATAGAGAATGAGTTTTAGCTGGGCACGGTTGCTCACATCTCTAACCCCAGCACTTAGGGAAGCTGAGGCAGGTGGATCCCTGGAGCTCAGGAGTTCAAGACCAACCCGGGCAACATGGCTGTCACTGCAAAAAACTTAAAAAATTAGCTGGGCATGGTGGCACACTTTTGTAGTCCCAGCTACTCAGGACACTCAGGTAGGGGGATGGCTTGAGCCTGGAAGGTCAAGGCTACAGTGAGCCATGATCACGCCACTGCACTCCAGCCTGGGCAACAGAGCAAGACTCTGTGTCAAACAAACAAAAAAAAGAAAATGAATTTTGTTGGGCGTGGTGCCTCACACCTGTAATCCTAGAACTTTAGGAGGCTGAGGTGGGAGGATCACTTAAGTGCAGGATTTTGAGACCAGCGTAGGCAACACAGCCAAGACCTCATCACTACAAAAATTATTTAAAAATTAGCCAGGTTGGACAGGCGCGGTGGCTCACGCCTGTAATCCCAGCACTTTGGGAGGCTGAGGCAGGTGGATCACAAGGTCAGGAGATCAAGACCATCCTGGCTAACACGGTGAAACCCCGTCTCTACTAAAAATACAAAAAATTAGCTGGGCGTGGTGGTGGGCACCTGTAGTCCCAGCTGCTAGGGAGGCTGAGGCAGGAGAATGGCATGAACCCAGGAGGCAGAGCTTGCGGTGAGCCGAGATCGCGCCACTGCACTCCAGCCTGGGCGACAGAGCGGGACTCTGTCTCAAAAAAAAAAAAAAAATTAGCCAGGCATAGTGGTGCATGCCTGCAGTTGCAGCTACTTGGGAGGCTGAGGTGAGAGATCGCTTGAGCCTAGGAGTTTGTGAGTACACTGAGCCATGATCGTGTCAACGCACTCCAGCCTGGGGGACCGAGCAAGACCTTGACTCTTAAAAAAAGAAAAAATAAATGTTTGAAAAAAAATGACTGGGCACAGTGGTTTACGTCTGTAATCCCAGCACTTTGGGAGGCCAAGGCAGGAGGACTGATTGAGGCCAGTAGTTCAAGACCAGCCTGGGCAATAAAGTGAGACCCAATCTCCTAAAAAAACAAAAAACAAGCCGGGCACGTGGCTCACACCTGTAATCCCAGCACTTTGGGAGGCCGAGGCGGGTGGATCATGAGGACAGGAGAGCGAGACTTCGTCTCAAAAACAAACAAACAAACAAACAAAAAAACCATTAGCCAGGCAAGGTGGTGCATGTCTGTTAGTCCCAGCTTCTCGAGAAGCTGAGGTGGGAGAATCGCCTGAGCCCAGGGAGTCAAGGCTACCGTGAGTCGTGATCATGCCACTGCATTCCAGCCTGGGCAAAAGAGAGAGACCTTGTCTCAAAAAACCTAAAATCCAAATGAGTTTTGTGAGTTTTTGGCTTTGTTGTTGTCTTGTGACAGAGTGGTCTGGCTCTGTCACCCAGGCGGGAGTGCAGACCTCAGCTGAGTGCAACCTCTACCTCCCAGGCTGAAGCCATCCTCTTACCTCAGCCTCCTGAGTAGCTGGGCCTACAGGCACGCATCACCACGCCCAACTAATTTTTTGTAGTAATGGGATTTCGCCATGTTGCCCAAGCCAGTCTCGAATTCCTGAGCTCAAGTTATCCATCTGCCTTGGCCTCCCAAAGTGCTAGTATTACAGGCGTGAGCCACCACGCCTGGCCTTGGCTTTGTTTTTTGAGACAGGAGACTCCCTATGTGGCCCAGGCTCATCTTAAACTCCTGGGTCCAGCGATCCTCTCACCTTAGTCTCCTGAGTACATGATTTTGTTATTTCTTTTTAGAGACAGGGTCTAACTCTGTTGTCCAAGCTGGAGTGCAGTAGTGTGATCACAGCTCACCGCAGTCTCAAACTCCTGGGCTCAAGATATTCTCCCACCTCAGCCTTCTGAGTAGCTGGGACTAAAGGTGCGGGTGGCATTGCACCCAGCTGATTTTTTTTTTTGAGATGGAGTCACATTCTTGTCACCCAGGCTGGAGTGCACTGGAGCCATCTTGGCTCACGGCAACCTCCACCTCCCGGGTTCAAGCAACTCTCCTGCCTCAGCCTCCCGAGTAGCTGGGACTACAGGCCCGCGCCACCACACCCGGCTAATTTTTGTATTTTTAGTAGAGACAAGGTTTCACCATCTTGGCCAGGCTGGTCTACAACTCCTGACCTCGTGATCCATCCACCTCGGCCTCCCAAAGTGCTGGGATTACAGGCGTGAGCCACTGTGCCCGGCCCTTCACCCAGCTGATTTTGAAATTTTTTTTATAGAGACAGTGTCTTGCTTTACTGCCCAGGCTGCGGTTTTGTTTTTGTTTTCTGAGATAGGGTCTGGCTCTGTGGCCCAGGCTGGAGTGCAGTGGCATGATCTTGGCTCACTGAAACCTCCACTTCCTGGGCTCAAGCCATTCTTTCACCTCAGCCTCCCAAGTCGCTGGGACTACAGGCATGCACTACCATGCCTGTATTTTTTTTTGTATTTTTTGTAGAGACAGGGTTTCACCATGTTGCCCAGGCTGGTCTTGAACTCCTGAGCTCCAGAGATCCACTTGCCTCTGCCTCCGAAAGTGCTGGGTTTAGAGGTGTGAGCCAGGGCGCCCGGCCTGTTTTTTTTTTTTTTGAGACAGGGTCTTGTTCTGTCACCCAGGCAGGGGTGCAGTGGCATAATCTCAGCTCACTGCAGCCTCCACTTCCTAGGCTCTAGTAATCCTCCCACCTCAGCCTCCTGAGCAACTGGGACTATAGGCGCACACCACACCTGGCCAGTTTTTGTATTTTTTGTGGAGATGGGGTTTTGCTATGTTGCCCACGCTGGTCTCAAACTCCTGGGCTCAAGTGATCGGCCCACCTTGGCCTCCCAGAGTACTGAGATTGCAGATGTGCACCACTGCAGTACTGAGATTGCAGATGTGAGCCAGTGCCGTACTGAGATTACAGATGTGAGCCACTGCATCCAGCCTATTATTAATTTTAATTATATGTGAGCCACTGCATCCAGCCATTATTAATTTTAATTATTTGCTTATTGGGATTTTTCTTGTGTGTGAAAGGGTCTTTTTTTTTTTTTTTTTTGAAGACAGAGTCTTGCTCTGTCTCCCAAGCTGGAGTGCAGTGGCTGGATGTCGGCTCACTGCAACCTCCACCCTCTGTGTTCAAGCAATTCTTCTGCCTCAGCGCCCCAAGTAGCTGGGATACAGGTGTGTGCCACCATGCCTGGCTAATTTTTGTAATTTCAGTAGAGACACAGTTTCACCATGTTGGCCTGGCTGGTCTCAAACTCCTGACCTCAAGTGATCTGACCGCCTTGGCCTCCAAAAGTGCTGGGATGACAGGCGTGAGCCACTGTGCCTGGTATGTGACAGGGTCTCACTCTGCTGTCCAGGCTGGAGTGCAGTGGCGCAAACTCAGCTCACAGCAACCTCCCTTTCTTTCTTTTTTTTTTTTGAGACGGACTCTTGCTCTGTTGCCCAGGCTGGAGTGCAGTGGTGCGATCCTGGCTCACTGCAACCTCTCTCTCCTGGGTTCAAGTGATTCTCTTGCCTCAGCTTCCCAAGTAACTGAGATTACAGGCGGCCACCACGACACCAAGGTAATTTTTTATATTTTTAGTAGAGATGGGGGTTTCACCACGTTGGCAAGGCTGGTCTCGAACTCCTGACCTCAGGTGATCCCACCGACTTCAGCCTCTCAAAGTGTTGGGATTACAGGTGTGAGCCACTGCACCCGGCCGCAGCCTCCACTTTCTAGGCTTAAGCAATTCTACAGTCTCAGCCTCCCAAATAGCTGGGACTATAGGCACAAGCCACCCACCAACACACAGCTAATTTTTGTATTTTTTATTTTTACTTTATTATCATTTTTTTGAGACAGAGTCTCACTGTTGCCCAGGATGGAGGGCAGTGGTGCAATCTTGGCTCACTGCAAGCTCTGCCTCCCAGGTTCACGCCATTCTCCTGCCTCAGCCTCCCAAGTAGCTGGGACTACAGGCGCCCGCCACCACGCCCGGCTAATTTTTTTTTGTATTTTTTAGTAGAGACGGGGTTTCACCATGTTAGCCAGGATGGTTTCGATCTCCTGACCTCGTGATCCACCCACCTCGGCCTCCTAAAGTGCTGGAATTACAGGCGTGAGCCACCGCGCCCAGCCCCACTTTTTTTTATTTTTTGAGATGGAGTCTCTTTCTGTTGCCCAGGCTGGAGTGCAGTGGCAGGATCTCGGCTCAATGCAACCTCTGCCTCCTGGGTTCATGCAATTCTCCTGCCTCAGCCTCCCAAGTAGCTGGGATTATAGGCACCCGCCACCACGCCCGGCTAATTTTTTTGTATTTTTAGTAGAGATGGAGTTTCACCATATTGGCCAGGCTGGTCTTGAACTCCTGACCTTGTGATCCGCCCGCCTCGGCCTCCCAAAGTGCTGGGATTACAGGCGTGAGCCACCCCGCCTGGCCTATTTTTTTTTTTTAATAACGGGGTTTTGCCATGTCGCCCAGGCAGGTCTTGATCTCCTGAGCTCAAAGTAATCCTCTTCCCCCTTGGCCTCCCAAAGTGTTGGGATTATAGGCATGAGCCACCGTGCCTGGTCTTGTTAATTTTGAGAGCAGGTTTTTGCTGCCCAAGCTAAACTGCAGTAGCTATGCACAGACACCATCACTGCACACTGTGGCCTTGTACTCCTGGCCTGGAGTCATCCTCCTGCCTCAGACTCCTGGGTAGCTGGGACCATAGGTGTGCACCACCACGCCCAGCTAAAGACCTAATTATTTCGTTCAATGTTAGAAACATCCTGGCTAACACACAGTAAGAACCCATCTCTACCGAAAAAAATACAAACGCCAGGCAGGGTGGTGCGCGCCTTTAGTCCCAGCTACTTCGGAGGCTGAGGTGGATTGCTTGAACCTGGGAGGCGGAGCCTGCAGTGAGTCAAGACTGCGCCACTGCCCTCCAGCCTGGGTAACAGAGGGAGAGCCTGTCTCAATTAAAAAAATAAAAAAAGCTGGGCGTGGTGGCTCAGGCCTGTAATCCCAGCACTTTGGGAAGCCGAAGCGGGGGGGGGGATCACCTGAGATCGGGAGTTCGAGAGCAGCCTGACCAACATGGAGAAACCCCGTCTTTACTAAAAAAAAAAATACAAAATTAGCCAGGCGTGAGTCTCATGCCTGTAATCCCAGCTACTTGGGAGGCTGAGGCAGGAGAATCGCTGGAACCCGGGAGGTGGAGGCTGCGGTGAGCTGAGATCGCACCATTGCACTCCAGCCTGGGCAACAAGAGCAGAACTCCATCTCAAAAGAAAAAAAAAAAAAAAAGAATGGCATAGGGGCCAGGCACGATGGCTCATGCCTGTAATCCCAGCACTCTGGGAGGCCGAGGCAGGCGGATCACGAGGTCAGGAGATCCAGACCACCCTGGCTAACATGGTGAAACCCTGTCTCTACTAAAAATACAAAAAATTAGCCGGGCATGGTGGCGGGCGCCTGTAGTCCCAGCTACTCGGGAGGCTGAGGCAGGAGAATGGCATGAACCTGGGAGGCAGAGCTTGCAGTGAGCCAAGATCGCGCCACTGTACTCCAGCCTGGGCGACAGAGCGAGACACCGTCAAAAAAAAAAAAAAATCATTCCACTATTGGAGAGAGGTAATAAGACACAATGTTAACTTTGGAAGCCAATGAAAAGTCCTTCCGGTAGAAAGAGTACTGATGAGTGCCTTCTCTTTCCATCCAAATGAATGATGAGACCATCTGAAGGAGAGCCGTACATTTTTCATATTACCCAAAGTCCACCTGTGGAATTCACAGCTGTCAGCTTAAAACAGTGAACAGCCCAGACTCAGGAATACTGGCTGTCTCTCCAATTTAAGACACTGAAAGGGGTGCGAGTGCCAGGACTGTCCTCTATGGCAAACACTCCTCATGCACCAATAGAAGATGATCGCAAAAGTTCCGAGGGCAGGACTGGAGAGGGGATTTTGGTTATGACTGTAGCAGAGCACGGAGGTGCTATATTCTGGAGATTCTCTTTATTGAGGAGGATCACTGATGGAGAATAATTCCTATTCAAGTCTGGTAGTCAAGGAGATTCATGGCTACCTTGCCTATCACCATTAGGCTAATTCTGGGTGATCTTTCAGGCCTATGGAGAAACTGTTTAGGACAGGGTCAGTGTGAGCGCATAGGGACCTACTTAGCACTGCCTGGTCAAGAAAACTCTAGGGCAGAGTGGTAAGGAGGCCACCTGGGCACCCATGGCTTAGAAATGGTTCTGATCACAGCTGGGTGGAGAAAAGCTCCCTTGCTAAGGTTTACCCAACTACATGCCAAGGTGTTCTATTAGTTGTCCTTTTGGGACAGTGGTTGGCAGGTCAGTGCTCAGTTAAGTGTTGCTAATTTTTATATTTTTAGAAGAGATGGGGTTTCACCATGTTGGCCAGGATGGTCTTGATCTCTTGACCTTGTGATCTGCCTGCCTCGGCCTCCCAAAGTACTGGGATGACAGGCATGAGCCACCGCGCCCAGCCAGATATTATCTTAATAAGCCTAACTCTGAAGTGATGGAAAGAAGCTAAGCACAATGCCTTCCTAGACTGGAGAAGCTCAGAGAAGTTCACAGCATTGTTGGAGATAACACAGCAAGCACAGTGTGGCTGGTGAACAAGGAGAAAGCGGCACGTCTTAGGAAGACAACCTCCCACCCGGCTTTCACCTTCACCTGGATCTATGTTCCTGCTAAAGACAGTTGGAATAACGCACTGTGTCCTGAGATACAACAGAATCGCCATGAGCAACTACGACCATCTGTGAACACTTCCAAGGTACTCTCTCCACTGGAAGAAGGAAGGTAACCACCCCCTGCCAGCCACTGTTACCATAGCAGGCCGAGCGAAATACATTTTGGCGGGGAAAGAACAAATGAGACTACTAAGCCAAGTCGCTCTGAAAGATGAGTGAGAGAAAACTTGGCAGATCATCTGGCGCAAAGGTAGGAAGCAGGTTTAATTCTCTTCTTGGTCAAATGCCACAATAGCGTGAACTGGGCTCACTATGACTTTTTTTTTTTTTTTTTTTGAGGCGGAGTCTCGCTCTTTCGCCTAGGCTGGACTGCAGTGGCGCCATCTCGGCTCACTGCAAGCTCCGCTTCCTGGGTTCACGCCATTCTCCTGCCTCAGCCTCCCGAGCAGCTGGGACTACAGGTGCCCGCCACCACGCCCGGGTTTTTTTTTCTGTATTTCTAGTAGAGACGGGGTTTCACCGTGTTAACCAGGATGGTCTCGATCTCCTGACCTCGTGATCCGCCCGCCTCGGCCTCCCAAAGTGCTGGGATTACAGGCGTGAGCCACCACGCCCGGCCGTGACTTTCTTTTTGTTTGGCAATCCCAATAGACACAGAAACGTAAGCAAAACGCCACGGAAAACCTTTGATGTACTTTACTTATAAATTATTTTTCTATTCTGACACTGTAATAATTTCACAGAGAAATGCCCGTTTCTGTGAACTGCTGGGGGCCATCAAGCTTCATTGATCCAAACTCCAGAAGGAAGGGAGGAGAACAGAACACACATAAGTCCCAGATAAGCCCAAACCTCACCATGGCTGTGTGTTCCGGCTCCTTTTCTCTCTTTCCTCTCCTTCCAACCACAAACAGCCAAAGGCAGGAAATAGAAGGGCGGGAAAGGAAGGAGGCACAGTCAGCCAGTCTAGAGAACAGAAGCAACGACAGGATTCTCATAGCTATCTGGGACTTGGAAAACCTCAATGACTTGTTCTACATCACCCTGTGCTGGATTCTGAACGTGGAGTTAGGAAGTCACACAAACGGAAATCAAAATCAATGCAAGGAGAGGATATCCTTTCAGCTTCTCGGTACCTGCTCAGCCCGTTACTTCTAAGCCTTCCAAGCATTTCAAGCCTCAGGTTACGACCATTTTTACAAGGCCACTCCCTCCCTGAAGGTTTCATGAAGAACACCTGAGGGCTCTGTGGGCTAAAATAGGCCCAATCACTTCTGACGGGTCTACAAGAGCGGGCCAGGCTCTCCTTGATCTCACAGCACTTTCTCTTTTCCTTTTTTTTTTTTTTTTTTTGAGACGGAGTCTCCCTCTGTTGCCCAGGCTGGAGTACAGTGGTGCGATCTCAGCTCACTGCAACCTCTGCCTCCTGCCTCCTGGGTTCAAGCAATTCTCCCTTCCTTAGCCTCTCGAGTAGCTGGGATTACAGGCGCCCACCACCACACCTGGCTAATTCTTGTATTTTTAGGAAAGACAGGGTTTTGCCATGTTGGCCAGGCTGGTCTCGAACTCCTGACCTCAAGTGATCAGCCAGCCTCAGCCTCCCAAAGTGCTGGGATTACAGGCGCGAGCCACCACACCCGGCCCTCTTTTCCCTTTTTTCCTCAATTCTTGCTCCCTCCCTTCCTTCTCTGCCTGTGGTATTTACAGGGGTTGCTTAGATAAATACCCACCAATACAAAACGCTAAAAAGGCCACTGGCTCGGGAGGCTGAGGCAGGAGAATCGCTTGAACCCGGGAGGCGGAACTTGCAGTGAGCAGAGATCGCGCCACTGCACTCCAGCCTGGGCGACAGAAGGCCACTGGTTTCCATCTGAGAAGATATATGGTCTCCTAAGCAAATAGAATGTTCTAAAGATGGTGGGTATGAGGACGGTCCTTTGCAGGTTTGGTGCATTGTGGCTCTCATTTTCTAGCTGTCTGAGTTACCTAACTTCTGTGTGCCTCACCCCCGACTCTGCAAAATGGGGTCAAATACCTATCTAATAAATAAAGTTCCTAAAGTGGCTAGAGGCTGGGCGTGGGGGTTCACGCCTGTAATCCCAGTACTTTGGGTGGCAGAGCCAGGCAAATCACTGAGGTCAGGAGTTCAAGACCAGCCTGATCAACATGGTGAAACCCATCTCTACTAAAAATGCAAAAATTAGCTGGGCATGGTGGTGCACGCCTGTAGTCCCAGCTGCTGGGGAGGCTGAGGCAGGAGAACTGCCTGAACCTGGGAGGCAGAGCTTGCAGTGAGCCGAGAATATGCCATTGCACTCCAGCCTGGGTGAGAGCAAGACTCCATCTCAAAAAAAAAAAAAAAAAAAAAAGAAAAAGTGGCTCGTACATTATAGGTGCTCAATAAAAAGCAACCAATTCTCCAAATTCCTTCAGCAATTTTCAATTCATCCTCAAATCCAGAGCCCACTGGACCGTTTCCCAGAGAAAATTCCACAGGATCTCAAGATGCTTCTCAAAAGTTCTGTGGTCAGGCAGGTGCGGTGGCTCACACCTGTAATCTCAGCACTTTGGGAGGCTGAGGCAGGAGGATCTCTTTATTTTTTTCTCTATTTTTAAAAACTGATTAACCAATCTTTAGGGAGACATCTGTTGAGGCCAGGAGTGCAAGCCCAGCCTGGGTCATACAGTGAGGCTGTAGTGAGCTATGACGGAGCCACTGCACACCAGCCTGAGCAACAGGGCCATCAGCAGTCTCACGCTACCTCCAGAAGTGGCTTGGCCCAGCTGCCAGCCTGGCATGTAGCTCTTCACTACCTCGAGGGAGTATCACAAACTATTACCACCCTAGCTTCTGTCCCACGCCTTCAAAATGAAGCACGTTTTATGCCCCCCTCCACCCACTAGCGCAACAGGTCGGATGAGCAGGTAACAGGAGGCACCATCTTATTTCCAAGTGCTGGACCCGAGGTCCTTTCACACTTACGGATGCACTCCACCCAGGCACCTACTCCCCAAGACAAACTGTTTCACCAGTTCCTACCATCCACAGCATGAATTC